>NC_000001.11:231032606-231184121 GCF_000001405.40 Homo sapiens | reverse complement strand
GAATAAAGACTCTTTTTAAAAACATTCCTTTTCAGTGGATTCGTTAACACCCTATTCGAGGCCAGCAGGATGATAACTCCTTGGAATTCAAAACTGAACAAAGAGACAAAGAGACCTGGAGAGATGGGTGTTTGTTCCATAGTTCCTTGAGCAGATCCCTGCTATCAGAGCATTCCTGTATATGCTGCTTCTTCACACTTGGGGAAGCCTTGGGAGCCAGAATGCCTGGGTTTGAATCCCAGCTCACTGACCCTGTGACATTAGGTGAGTCACTTACTCTCCCTGCCCTCATTTTCCTCAAATGCAAAAGGCGGGTAATAGCAGTAAGTGCCTAACAGCTATAGTGAGGATTAGGTGAGTTAATAACTGTAAAATGCACCTGGCACATATTCAATGCTATCTACGTGCTCCCTGTTGTTACAGTTTCAAACCTGGCTCTCAAAGTTCGTATTGATTCTGTGAGTGCTCAAGAAAAAAGCAATATTTTTTGCTTTTTGTTGGGAGGGAGGGATGGGGGTCTCATTTTGTTGTCCAGTCTGGATTGCAGTGGTGCCATCATGAAGCACTGCAGGCTTAAACACCTGAGCTCAAGTGATCCTCCCTGCCTCAGCCTCCCAAGTAACTAGGATGTTGGGCACGTGCCACCATGCCCAAGTAATTTTTATATTTTGTTATTTTTACTTTTTGTAGAGATGAGGTTTTGCTGTGTTGCCCAGGTTGGTCTCAAATTCCTGGCCTCAAGTGATCCTCTTGCCTCAACCTCCCAAAGCACTGAGATTACAGGTGTGAGCCACTCTGCCTGGCCTATTTTTCTGATAATTTCCTTTTGATTCAAGTTAGCCAGAGTTGGATTCCTTTGCTCAGAGCAAAGGACTCTAGCAGATTTAGTGGTTAGGATGCCCAACAAATGCAAAGACAGCTATGCTATAATTAGTGATTCATGCTGAGCCTTGGTATAGTCCATGCTTGTGGAGATGGTGATGATGAGAGGTCTCTTCTTTATCCCTTCCACAACTCAGCTTCAGACTCTGACTCCCAAAATCCTGACTGCTTAGGAGTTCCCCACGAGCTCCTGCCCCAAGGCTTGCAGGGAGGAGCAACCTATCTTGTTAACAGTGAATTTTAAGTTGCCAGGATTGATATGTCAGAGCCACCAACCAAATTTTCTTAGCTAGAACTTAATGCTGAAGTCAAAATAAAAAGAGGCAGGACTGATGGGCAGTACTGCCAGAAACTGACTTCCAGTCATTAGCTATATCCGCAGGCACACGGGGGCTTCTTCCTCTGACAAGGCAGTCAGTGAGGGCCAAATGACCTTCAAAAGCTCACGTGTGCAGGAGCCAACCCCAGAGTAATTGGGAAATCCATGCCTCCCCTTGGACTTGGGCTTGTCAGTTCCTGCTGAAGTGGGCAGACAGTGGCAGAGCCGGTACCCACCCTCAAGATGCAAGCCACCTTCACATGACCTGCCAAGGAGCTGTGTGCCTCTGTGCCTGTGCCCTTGCCATTCATCTGCTGGATGTGCCCTTTCCCATGGCTGCACCGGTGCCCCACGGTCATCCAAACCTCAGCTCAAGTGTCCCTTCCTTATGCTGGATTGTGCAACCTCCCCCTTCAAGTCCTGTTGAGATGTCCCTTTTCTGGGTCCCTGTGCCAACGAGATGTGGATCTCTTTCTGTTCTACTGTAATCGTGTATTTACTATTTTTTTTTTAAATTTGTTTTTTAGGACAGGGTCTCATTGTGTTTCCCAGGCTGGTTTAAAACTCCTGGCCTCAGGCGATCCTCCCACCTTATCCTCCTGGACAGCTGAGAACATTTCCTTCTTCCTTCACTAAATTGTGCCATCTTGGGAGATGAGACCTTGCTTGTTTCATCTTTGCGTGGGCTACCAGTGTATGTCCCATAAATATTTGTTGAATAAGTGAATTAGTTTTTAATCGGGCAAGATGACAGGGAAGTTTCTAAAATGAACCAAGGATCAGAAGCAAGGACCAGAGCTCCACTTTAGCTTTGCACCTGATATGAAATATTATATTAGAACAGTCACACGATTTCACTTCTTACACTTTGGGGTAACCTACTAGAGCAAGGCCCTCATTTGTCACTGGCCATGTGAAGATATGAGGATAACATGCTGCGGAAGTATGCTAAATATCCCAAACCATCCCTTTAAAACAGGCTCCAGAAGTGCTAGGCTTATGTTTCTACTATTTTGAATTATAGCAGAAGAAATAGATTTTAAGCCAAATCAAACTATCCAGAAAAAAGGTTCAGAATAGAGAAAAGAAGTTCAAAGGAAAAGCAGGTTGTCAGTAAAACAGTGTTTATTCACTCTGGATAGTGGGCCCTATTCCAGGAGTTGAATGTATGGTGGGAATGTCTACCTCTCTACAGCTCAGGGAGTCAAGCAAAAAAAGCCACGAAAAAAAATCAAGTCTAAAAAGAAGTCTAAATATGGACCTAGTAGAGGACACTGCTAGATTTTTAAAGTTTTTTTCTTTTTTCTCATTTTTCTGTGACCAAAGGAAAGAATAGAAACATTTTGGCCAATGACCAGGGCAAGGCTCAGAAGAGAGAGGAAAGATAGTGAAATGGTGAGAGAATGGTTGTATCAGACAGCTTAAGCTAGTGACGCTGCAGTAACAAACACCACCCCCCAACTTGGAAGCTTCCAACCACAAACGTTCACTTCTTGCTGACACTGAGTGCCCATTGCAGGTCACCTGCAGCTCTATTTCCCGTCCTCTGCATTTCAGGATTCAGGCTGAAGGAGCTTCTCATTTGAGGCATAGTAGACTCATAGCAGAGGAAAAGGAGCTACAGCCCAAACACACCCTTGCTCTTAAGACTTCTCCTGGCCAGGTGCAGTGGCTCACGCCTGTAATCCCAGCACTTTGGGAGGCCGAAGAGGGTGGATCACGATGTCAAGACATCGAGACCATCCTGGCCAACGTGGTAAAACCTCATCTTTACTAAAAATATAAAAATTAGCTGGACATGGCGGTGCATGCCTGTAGTCCCAGCTACTTGGGAGGCTGAGGCAGGAGAATCGCACGAACCTGGGAGGCAGAGGTTGCAGTGAGCTGAGATCGCACCACTGTACTCTAGCCTGGCGACAGAGCGAGACTCCATCACAAACAAACAAACAAACAAACAAACAAAAAAACCTTCTCCTGAGAGGTGGCACTATCCATCCCACTCACATTTCATTGACCCAAGCAAGTTAGAGGGCCCAGCCTTAGAGTGATAGGACAAGAAGTATATTCTCCCAGAGGGACAGCAGAAAACATTTGAACAAATGATAAAATCTAGCAAACATGGCCTCCGCATTCAGACAGACCTTGGCTTTACTTACTAGCCCTGTGCTCTGGGGCCAGTTCTTACTCTCCTACAGAGTGCAGATGTTAGGGATTTTATTGCCTACCTCTAAGTTGTGGCAATTAAAAATAAATAACATATTAACACATGCGACTTTTTTCTTCCTTCCCTTGATTCATCCAACTCCTCCTCCACCATCACCCCCTTCCTCCATGCTCCAGGCTGCCATCTTCAATGCAATAGATTTGGCAGGAGCATCCAGATATGACTTAGGGTAGAACAGTATCTGAAGGGGGGTGCAGGAGAGGGAGACTAGCACGCTGGGAGGGAGGTAAGAATGAAGTTGTTCTTAAAGACAGTATCCTGGCTTCATATGTTTACCGAGAGGTAAGAAATCAATCCATAGAGTGTTTTTTCTTAATTAGAGACTTTTTATAGAACTTTATCTTAAAGAGATAATAAGATAAGCATGCAAAGATGTATATACAAGAATGGTCACTGCATCTAAGAAAATAGTGAAATTTGTGAACAGCCTAAATATTCAGAAATAGTGATTAATACAAATGATGCAATATCCACATAACTGAATACTCAGCACCCATTAAAATGCCAATGTATTTCTATATTTGTTGACACATAGGATAAACTCTAAGATAGATTATTCAGTGGAAAGCAAAGCTCTTTCCCTCAAACACCTCAGGACATTTAAGCATTAGGGCAATGTCCTGCTGCAATGATAACACTTCTCATTATAACCCTGGATGGGTCACATTTTCAATACACTTACTTTTGGTGACTGTCACAAAGGCACAGGAGAAAGTTGAGAGGATGAAAAGACTCCCTTTGAAACCTGCCATCTCTCCTCCATCCCTTCTCCTACTCTTTGCCCAGTCTGCAGGACCCTACCCAGTGCCCTCTAATCAGCACCACACTGCCCCTCCCCTACCTTAAACCGTCCTTCTCCCCAACTCACACCTGGAATCTAAAATTCCCCACTTTTCTGCTAGCTTCAGAGGAGCACAATCTGGCTGAATATGTTCACAGAGTATGAGGAAACAATGGGCTTAACCTACTTGAGTTAGTAACTTTCAATTTTCTTTCAATTGCCAGCTCTCTTCTTGTTTCGTTGTTGCACCCAAACCCATTTATGCCTAGTGTTCCATTATTGGAATGCTAAGCTTGTGGGAGTTATTCATATCCTACTGTTCAAGGTCATCACCAAGGTCTGATTGCAAAAATTCAAAAAATTGCAACCTCAGGCATAAATGGGTTAACGACCACTGTGACATTAACCAACTAATTAATGTTTTCGTGTGTTATAGGCTGAAATGTGTCCCACAAAAAGTCACATTTGGGGTTGAAATCCTAACCCCTAACCGGACCTCAGAATGCTTTCTTGTTTGCCAATAGGGCCATTACAGATGTAATTGGTTAAGGTGGGGGTCACACTGGAGTAGAATGGGCTCTAATCCATTATGACTGGTGTCCTTACAAAGAAGAGACATTTGAACACATACATGCATGCACAGAGGGAGAATGCCATGTGAGATTAGACTTCTGCTGCCACAAGCCAAGGAGCCACCACAAGCTGGGACAGGGCCCTGGGGCAGGTCCTTCCTGGTCCCTTCAGAGGGAACACCGCCCTGCCGACACCTTGATTTTGGACTTCCAGCCTCCAGAACTGTGAGACAAGAAATGTCTGTTGTTTTAAGCTACCCAGCTTGTGGTAATTTGTGATGGAAGCCTTAACAAACAAATACATTATGTACAGCTTTACCTCCTAATACATACCCTTACATATATATTCACAGAAAATCATATTGCATATACTCTTTCTCCACATCATAAAAATGGGTGTTGGGCTCTCTAGGACACAAGGGAAGCAGGCCAAATTTCTCATATTTTCAGGAATAAACTGAGTGCCCCGAAGGTGTAATAGGAACCTTTTACTAACCTCATCTGACTTCATCCTCACACCAGCATTTTGTGTGTAAGGAAACTGGCCGAGAGTGGTTAAGAAACATATCCAAAGACGTATAGTTCCAAATGGAACACGGATCTTTTTATTTAAATTCCAATCATCTTTCCATTATATCAGCCAATGATGGAGCAGAAAGCTGGTCCAGGCAATCCCAGAATAGATCTTTCTAGGCACCCGTTCAGTGTGAGGAGGGGAAGTGGCCTTGCCAAGGGGCCAGTGAGCTCAATTAGGTTAAACGCTGCTTCTTAGCCCTACCCCAAGAGGACACCGTCACTAAGATTGTTTTGTGCCCAGCCTTGGACAGGAAAGCAATTCCCTCCTTTCACAGCATTCTCAGCCTTGACGTTCAATAATAATCGTGATGATAATAGTGGCTTTCTTTTATTGAACACGCACATGTGGTGTACACTGTTAATTCCTTAAAATGCATGATCTCATTTAATATGCCGTCAGTCCATGGCAAAAGGAGGAGTTTTAGGATTGTTGGCTTGCAACTGGCTTTCTTATTCCCCGTATTCTCCTGCCTCTATAGCACCAATGATTTTAGTAATGTCAGTCTAGTAAACTTACACTCAGAGTGTTCTCTCAAAAGTTGAAGCAGTGCTAACATCTGGGAAAAGTCATGCCAACATTTCCCAGCCAGCTTTTTTCATGTCACAAGCTCAGCTGACTGTTTCTCACATGATTACCACACATAAGGAGGGAGGAGAGAGCCATGCTAATGAGCATGGATGGCTCTTTTCAATATGGGGCCCTGGAAAATGCATAATTCCTCCTCTTCTCATTTTCCATACTGTCCCCAGGAATGACCCTTCCTTTATGAATCATTCTATTCTATGATTCAACAAATAGTTCATAGGGACTGCTCTGAAATCATACTTTATGGCATGGATATTAGAATACATTTTAGTGTTAAGTCCTATTCATTTATTAAATAGATGTTTCTTGTGCTTGACTGGGTGTCAGATGCTCTGATGGGTACTGGGATTACAAAGATAAATAATACATAGTCCTTGTTCTCAAAGTGTTCAAAATATAGTGTTATTTATGCATATGATGTATAAAGCTGGTCTTAAAAAGAAAGAGATCCTGTAAGTTTCTGTTAGCTGCAAGACACATTGATGGGTGTAAAAGTCTAATCAAGATGGGATTTTATTTTTAAAGCTGTCTGGAGTTATTAGTAAAAATGCCCATGGAGACTGTAAGAATATCCCATTTGGCAGGAAAGTATAATTGGGCACAGCAAGTCTCACTTCCGTGAAGAAAGGCTAGAGACCAGAGAGTAATCAGCTCATGCTCTGATAACACCAAGAACAAGCCTGGGATGGGATGTCTGATGCATGAAGCCCCAGGACCAGACTTCTGACTTTGCCAATGTATCAAGACCATTTGCTGAGCCAAGCCAGGGGAGGTTCTCATCGCCCGGCAACCAAACTGCTTCTTTAGCATCAGGTCAGCTCCGGTCTCTTGTAACAACAATAGAATTAGTTCTGTGACAATAGGTGTCTGATGAGAATTTGTCTTAGAGCTTTCTCTCTGTCGTCAAATTATGCACCCCCTACCCCATCCTTCCAATCCTTTGAAACCCAACTCAACTCCCATCTCTCTAGTCTCTGCTCCGTGCTCATTCATACCTAAGGATGGTTCCACATATTTTAGCACCAATTATTTGTGCTCTGGTGTTGTTCTTGATTTCTTGTGCATAAGTGGTGAGATGAGCCCTCCTGTCCATTTAAATGACCAAAATCAGCCTTCTTTTAAAGTAAGTCCATATCCCTGCCCTTTTCCTCCTGGGAATCTCTTATGTTACGGTTTCCTCACTTCTTTTGTTTTTACCCCTTTCTCCCCATCTCTAGCCCCTTAACTTAGCTGAGCAAATTGAGATGTTTGAAAGGTGTTTTTTTTTTTTTTTTTGCCAGATTGTATTGGCAAACAGGGTAAAATGACTGAAATTTACAAGAAAATTCAAAAAGATTATAGCCTGGCTATTCCTGTTCTTCACTGAAATTTAAATGAGGCTAAAGTTTAATCCTTCTTTGCCTGTCAAGTTAGATGTCCCCTTAAATTTGGCTTCTGAATCTATTTATCCCATCCTTTTCCCCCATTGTCTCCAGATCCAGTATGTTAGCTCAGATACTCAAAGGATTGGTAGTCTGAGTTCCTTCATTTTTATTAGACATGGCATCATATTCATCAATGTTTCTCTGCTTTGTGTAAATATGGATGAATCCCTGGCACTCTACCAGCAGATAATCAACTGGCTGTTTGAACAGGAACTATATTTTAAACATCTTCTTTAATGCCTCATGCAATGATGTACAGCTAAGTTTTTCTTTCTTTCCTGAATAATGAACCTACTCACCATCCGTGACCCCAGCTCAAGCATCATCTTATCTTCAGTTTCCCCACTTACCACTCTTTCCCTCTTCCCCTTCCTAATCTCTGGGGGAAATTCACTGCCTTCTCTTCACTCTTCCTCCATCTGTTTATTCACATTACAAGGAGGGCACTTATTCCACTTTTCATATCAGGCGCATATACATCAGGTTGGCTGTACAATGGTCTCCTGCAGCAGGCTGTGAGCTGTCTTGTGGCCTGTTTTAAGTGTGTCTGCAGCACAGCCCATGGATTACAGGAGGCACTCAAAGAATTCTTAACCAGTGGATTGTTTTGACTGGATAATATGGAAAGCCACAAGATGACATTTCTCCTTCACATCCTGGAAGGGACACAGATGGACTCAGGAATGAAAGCCACCTTAATTGAACAGCTTTAACTGGGAAACTTTAGCTGGGTCCCACATTCCACCCTCCCATGACACCCAGCAAACCCCAAAGATGCAAGAAGCCTGACAGATGACAATACAGATCCTCCTTGCTTTGCCCAGATGCCCTGAGACCTGTGGCCCCCAATTGAAAGAAGATATTTTGCAAACCAGAGGAGCCTCGGGAAGTTACCCACAATGCACATGAGGCCCAAATGGCAGGAATCACTCAAGGATCTATTTGAATTTTCACTTAATTCTCCTGGTGGAAGATAATTTTCCATGGGTTTCTGGTGTTTCTCCACATCTTGTAAGTGAGGCACTGACTGCTCTTTGTTCTGGGCTATGTTTCTAAGGATGAGGACAGCCTTGGAAGATAGAGACGGTATCTCCCTTCGGAGCAATGGGCTGCTGTTTACTGCCCTTTGTAAAAAGATTGGGGTTCGCTAAGCTCAAGGCTCCTCTCCTGTAATGCAGCCGGCTGCGTGTGCGGGTGTCATGATCTAGCCCTCTTCACATCCCCTTATGGGAACTGGCCCAATATGTGGATGTTCTGGCTCCTGCTGTTGCTGTGAGTAATAAACTGTTCTCCATCTCTGAATTAGGAGTCTAATGTCTTCTGACTGCACCCACGAAACTCTGGCAGGCTAATTTGTTGGCTTGTAAGTAGGCTAAAAACTCAGACCTCTCACACTTCCTGAGATCCCCCTGCAGGGTCTTCCTGCCTTTGGTGTGCCCTGATGTCCCCTTCTGTGCATCTTCATATTCCCAGTAGGTTACAGGTGTAGAACCCTGCTGGGGAGACAGTACTGTGTGCAGGACAAACACTCATCACTGATAGCTGCAGATAGTTCAGTGAAGGAAACCAATGTGAGAGGTAAAACTCACGCCCTCCCAGCAACCTGATGGTGTGTGGTGACATTCACATGAAACTTGAAATATGATGAATGGCTGCACTGTCTGCACCAGGCAAAGTTCTCTTTATTGTGTGGGACTGGCAGGGAGCAGTAGCATGGCTGCAGGACCAAGAAGATCTCTGTTTCTTGATCCAAACATTTCCAAGCAGCATTCAGTTTTTCTAGCAGTGACTGCAGCACTGCTCACAACTAGGGGACTATCTTAATGAGACTTTCCAGAAGATCCTAGCTCTCTTTGGTTGTATTCAAGTAGACTACTTATTTTGTTTATTTATGCATTTATTAGTTTCAAAAAGGGCATAAGGCAGTTTGCAAGGGTTTATAAATTTCAAGAAAGCATAACTTAAAAAGAAAGAAAAACAACCTCCCAGAGCACAGCAAAGACCTCTAGTAGCTGAGGGAAGGGAAATGAAAAAACTCTTTCTTCCTGGGTAAGATAGAGAAAAGAGACACAGGCCCATAGCATTAGACGGGACAGACTGTTGGGGAAAGGGCAGGACATCTGAGAAAATGCAGAGTGGAGACAGAGAAGGGAGAGGGAGAGGGGCTAATCACTAGACTTGCCACAGCCTAAAAAATAACCAGTGAAATGGAAGTCAATAGAAGTTACCCCAACTGTAACACAAAGAAACAAAAAAAGTGATTAAAGAAAAAAGACTAAAAGTAAAATAAAAGGCTGGACATGGTGGCTTATGCCTATAATCCCAACACTTTGGGTGGCTAAGGTAGGAGACATTTGAGGCCAGGAGATTGAGACCAGCCTAGGCAACATAGCAAAATGCAACCTCTACAAAAAAAAAAAAAAATTAGCAAATTTGCTAGGCATGATGGCATGTGCCTCTAGTCCTAGCTACTTGGAAGGCTGAGGCAGGAGGATTGTTTGAACCTAGGAGTTCAAGGTTGCAGTGAACTATGATTGTGCCACTGCACTACAGCCTGGGAAACACAATGAGACCCTGTCTCTAAATAGAAAAAAAAAAAAAAAAAGAAAATAAGACAAAAGAAAAAAGAAGAGATCATCCAAGAACTGTGTGACAATAGCAAGCAATCTAATATATGTGTTATTGGAATTCTGGAAGGATGAGAGAGAGAAAGAGAAAGAGAGAGGATAGAGAAGGAGAATTTTCTGAAGAGATAGTACATAAAAATTTTCCAAAAATAATAGAAGACACCAAACCAAAAGTCCAAGAAGCTCAGAGAACCCCCAGCAGGATATGAATGCATAAGCCTCTCTCCATTTCTGCTGCCTCTCTCCTAATTCAAGTCCCCATATTTATGGCCCAAACTGCTGCAACAGCTTCTAATTACACATCCTGCCTCCACTCTTGTCCCCCTACTATCCATTTTCCAAACCACCGTCAGAGAGCTCTTTTAGAAAAGAAACATCACACCCCAGCTTAAATCCTTCTGATGGTTACCCATAGCACTTACTATTAAATTCAACCTGTTCTGCATGGCCCGCCAGGCCCTGTACACTTCTGCCTCTCTGCCTAGCTCTCTGCTTCTGCCCCTTATTCATCTGTTTCATTATGCCCCAAGCACACTGGCCCATTTCTGTCGTTTAAACACACCAGGCGTCACCTGCCCCTGGTTCTTGGCCCTTGTCTTCTCTGTGAAATGTGCTGCCTTCAGAATCCTGCAAGGCTGGTTCTTTCCCATCCAGTCTTCAAGTCTTAGCTTGAATACATCCTCCTCAGTGATTGTTTTTCAACTTTTCTGCCAAAGAGGTCTGCCTAAGTACTATTGGTATTTTAAAATACAGACAAGGTCTCGTTATGTTACCCTGGCTGGTTTTGAACCCCTGGCCTCAAGAAATCCACCTGCCTCAGCCTCCCAAATTGTTAGGATTATAGGCATGGGACACTGTGTCTGGCCCTGCCTAAGTATTTTTTATCACATTGTTTTTATTTCCATCTTGGTATTTATCACTATCCAGCTTATTTATTTGTTCATTTACTTGTCAATTTTCTTTCTCTTGTGACTAGATTTATGTTCTTTGAGGAAAGAAAATTCCATCGGTGGTCTCAGTGTTTAGAACTGTGTCTGATATGATATATAGGCATTCAAGATGTCCTCATTGACTGAATGAGTAATTAGGTGAATTGAAAGAGAAATAATCATTAGCAGCATCAGCTCAGAAAAAGGCTGTAATGGTCAAGAGACAGCATCAGTATTTACGTTATAGTAAGTGTTAGAGATGACTTTTAGTTGTGGGTACACAGCTCAGCTGATAGGTAAAGCCAACCATAAGGCAACAAATAATTTATCGAGTGAGAGAAAGTCTCATCTCTTCATTTTAGGAGGCTTGTTGTTTCTGAGTATTCATAGTTCACTGGTTTCCTGGTTTTATAGATATCATCCAGAATCAAACTATAAGGATTGAGAGATTGAGTAAATACAAGTATGTGTCTAAATTTCCTAACACAACCTTGACCTAATTTTTTACAACTATGCACCGTCTGGACAGATTTTTTTAGATGTCATGTGACTAAGGCCCAGCCTCTCCTTCTGGAGTGAGTGCTGGCAGGTGTCCACATCCTGTCTGATACGTCTGTCACTGAGGCCTCATCCACACTCCTGGTTCCCAGAACCCAGCTCACCTTGCCCTGTCCTTGTGAATCCTTTCACACCCTCTCTCTCCTCCACACCACATCTCCTTTCTGTAGCCACTGTAGCCATATGTAAAATAGAGAGGGAACGCTAGTGATCTCTCTCACATCCCTTCTGGCCCCCAAACTCTTGCCTTATTCGTCCCAAACAGGACATTGAAGCTCCCCCATCCCGTCCCCACCTTCGATTCCCTTTTCCTGCTGCCCCATTCCAGTTGAATGAGAGGTTGTGCTCCATCTCTGTTCCCCCCACTTTTAAAAATAGCTGTCAGCTAATGCTTTATTTCTTCTATGCATAACTACTCCTCAGCTGATGCCATAGGCATCTGTTTTTGTTCAAATATACATATAGCATTCTGTTGCATTTTTACAGTTATTCAAAATGTACAGTGAGGAGCAATAAAGGGGGCCGTTTTTGTTGGTTTGTTGGTTTGTTTGTTTTTAGAGTTGGGGTCTTGCTCTGTTGCCCAGGCTAGAGTGCAGCGCTGCAATCATAGCACACCACAGCCTGGGCTCAAGCATTCCCTCTGCCTCAGCCTCTTGAGTAGCTGGGACTACAGGCACGTGTCACCATCCTTGGCTAAATGCTTTTATTTTTTATAGAGAAGCAGTCTCTCTCTGTTGGCTAGCCTAGTCTCAAACTCTTGGCCTCAAGCAATTCGCCCGCCTCTGCCTTCCAAAGTGCTGGGATCACAGGCATCAACCACCATGCCCAGACTTGTTTTTTTGCAAAATCATTTCACAACTTGCTGTACAAGTTTAGCAAACCCCTTCTTCTCAAGTTTCCTCATCTGCAAAATGAAGAGGTTGCGACTCATAATCTCTGTTAGAAAACAGCAGACCCTAGAAAATAAACATTTTGAAACCCTCAGTTTCACATCAAGAACTTCACAAAAGGAAATTCCAAACTTGGAGGAAGGAATTTGCTAAAGCCCCCTCCCAATGTCTGTCTGGATTCTCTGCTATTCCTGAGGTTCCCTTGTTATGATTGTCATAACCTCCACCACTACCTGGGCAGCACCCCCACCGAAAATGGCTAAAGAGTGGATAAAGCATTCTCTTTGCTGATTTAGAGAACAACTAAGACCCAAACTAATATGAAACCCAAGGTACAAACAGCTAAGTAGGTTTATTTTAAATCCCAGGAAAGCAGCAGAAAGCATTTCTCCAGAATTTCTTTCTCCTCAGGCCCCTCTGCTCTAACTCAAGAAGACTCATACAGATTTGCAGACACTTCCCACCCCTTAGAGATTCCTGCCCATCTCTGGGCCAGGTGGTCTTTGAGCACCATATGGTTTCCCAGTACCCAGAGTTTGTGTAACCTAAAGATCCTGACTGGTGCCCAGGGTAACTAAATAAGACACTAGTTCAAAGCTCTCAGGCCCCCTAGAGGAGACACATCCACTTCTCAGATGACTTTCAGTGAAAGTCATGGGCCTAGCACCCTGGAGCTCTAAAAGCAGTCCCATTAGGGCATTTCAAAGTTTAATGTACATGCAAATCACCTAGAATCTTGCTAAAACACAAATCATGAGTCAGCAGAACTGTTTGAGATTAAAAATTCTGCATTTTCAGTGAGCTCCCAGGTTGATGCTGATGCTGCAGGGTGGAGGCCCACACTTAGATTGCGACCAACAAGGCTGCAATCTAAAGGAGAGCAAATTATTTTCTATGAAGGGCCAGATAGTAAATACTTTCAGTTTTACAGACCACATCATCTCTGTTGCAACCACTCAACTCTTCCAAAAGCAAACATGGCCAAAAGCAACCATTAGCAATAGTAAATAAATGAGTGTGGCCGTGTTTCAATAAAATTTTATTTACAAAAACAGGGAGTGGGCCACAGTTTGCTGACCCTTTCCCTGGTCTGTTTCAGGAATTAAGAGATTCCTCCCATCTAGAACACTCTATATTGTTGATTTCTACATGTAAGCTCCATCACCATGAATGTCTACTGGCATAAAAGCCCTTCCATTGCAGGCTAAAAATATAACAATACCTTAACGACACAGTGACCACCACAGCAAACATTATGAAATATATTCATGAATAGTGACAGGAGGATTGTTCATTCACAGCCTTTGAGGTTGTCTTCAACTTTTAATTTCTTATATTTCTCTATATAAATAGTCTTCAAAGAGAAGATAAAGCAACTCAAGTTTCTGGATTCTTGCCTTCTTTTCTCAAACCCATTTTTTGTTTCCTAGATGTGTGTGACAAGGAAAGCATATTAAAAAGAAAAAAAGACTGGGCACGGTGGCTCACATCTGTAATCCCAGCACTTTGGGAGGCAGAGGTGGGCGGATCACCTGAGGTTGGGAGTTTGAGACCAGCTTGACCAACACGGGGAAACCCCATCTCTACTAAAAATAAAAAATTAGCTGGGCATGGTGGTACATGCCTGTAATCCCAGCTACTCAGGAGGCTGAAGCAGGAGAATCTCTTGAACCCAGGAGGCGGAGGTTGCAGTGAGCCGAGATTGCACCACTGCACTCCAGCCTGGGCAACAAGAGTGAAACTCCAACTCAAAAAAAAAAGAGAGAAAGAAAAAAACATTTTAAAGGTGTAACATAAAGGTCCCTGAATTACCAACCTACTTGGAATTAAATCTAAGCATAGGGTAGGGCTACAGCAAAGGTGGCTTGAAGACAGTGGTGATGTTGGCACAGAGATGGTGTGAAGTGCTGCAGCCTCTAGTTAGGGGAGTCAGCTCATCTTCCCAGGGCTCTGAGCAGATTTGCCATTGGTTCTTAGCCAGTCTGGGGCAGATAGGAGAGAAGCCAGCCTAGGCACTTCTTTTCCCAGAACTTTAGAGTTGGTAAAAGATTCAACTTCTCAAAAATTTAGTCTTCGGGCGGGTGTGGTGTCACATGCCTGTAATCCCAGCACTTTGGGAGGCCGAGGCAGGTGGATCACCTGGGGTCAGGAGATTGAGACCAGCCTGACCAACATGGAGAAACCCTGTCTCTACTAAAAATACAAAAATTGGCCAGGCGTGGTGGTGCATGCCTGTAATTTCAGCTACTTGGAGGCTGAGGCAGGAGAATCACTTGAACCCAGGAGGCAGAGGTTGCAGTGAACTGACATGGTGCACCACTGAACTCCAGTCTGGGTTATAAGAGCAGAAACGTTGTCTCAAAAAAAAAAAAAAAAAAAAAAAAAGAGAAAAGAATCGAAGGCTGGTGCAGTGGCTCACACCTGTAATCCCAACAGTTTGGGAGGCCAAGGCGGACAGATCACTTGAGGTCTGGGGTTCAAGACCAGCCTGGCCAACATGGCAAAACCCTGTCTCTACTAAAAATACAAAAAATTAGCTGGGTGTGGTGGCACATGCCTGTAATCCCAGCTACTCGGGAGGCTGAGGCAGAATCACTTGAACCCCAGAGGCGGAGGTTGCAGTGAGCTGAGTAGCGCCATTGCACTCCACCCTGGGTAATAGAGCAAGACTCTATCTCAACAAATAAAAATAAAAAAAAATATCTAGGGCTTCCACTCAGAATGAGAATGAGCATATTTCCATGCCACATGCTCTGAGAGCCCCGGCGGACTCTTCTCAGTTTGGACTCCAAACACTCTGCTTAAAGTTGGCAGCAAGTGTACAATCATCAGCCATAGAGTTGTAGACTTCAGGCCCCCTGGAAAGTTTTTACGAAACACTTCTCCCTACCTAACTCTTTTTGCCCATCCAACCCTACCCAAAAATGCCTTAGGTGGGCCCCCAAGGCCTTGTCTTTTCACAGACCTTAAAATCCAAGAGGTCATAGTGAGCAATATCTGTACATGTTAAATCAATTGTTGAGGGAAGATCCCTAACTAGTAGTTAAAAATATGAAAATCTAGATACATGTCATCTTCTTTTTAAAAATAGTTATAACAATAATGTAATGAAAATAGCAAACAATAATTACTAGAAAGAAGACAATCCACCTTATCATTTCTCCCTGTGGTCTTTATCCACGTGAATTTTTAATTGTTTACATAATTTTGTTATTAAAAAAGAAAGTAGGTGTCATCTTTATGAAAGGTAATTTGGAAACAGTAATTATCTTAAAATCAGGTATCTTTGACATAGCAATTCCATATCTAGAAATGTAACCTGAGGAGATAATTAAAAGTGTAGGCATAGACTTAACAAGCGAAATGTTTGTAACAGCAAAAGACAGAAAACAACCCAAAATTCAGTATTAAGGTGTTAACGAAATAAAATATAAATGCCTATGATGAAATGGCAGGCAGCCGTCAGAAATGATATACGTTGGTCAGGTGCAGTCGCTCACGCCTACAGGCGTGATCCCAGGCTTTGGGAGGCCAAGGTAGGAGGATTGCTTGAGGCCAGGAGTTCAATTGAGACCAGCCTGGCCAACAGAGCAAGACCTCATTTCTACAAAAAATTTTAAAATTAGCCAGGCATGGTGGTGGGGTGTGCCTGTAGTCCTGGCTACTTGGGAGGCGGAGGTGGGAGGATCGTTTGAGCCCAGGAAGTTGAGCCTACAGTGAGCTGTGATGGCAGCACTGCACTCCAGTCTGGGCAACAGAGAGAGACCCTGTCTCAAAATATTAAAAAAAAAAAAGAATTACAAATATTAAAATATTTTTACCTGTGATCACAGTGCAACTATGACTCCATGTTCTTTGTCACGTATGTATTATCCCTTTTAATAGAAGAGGTGTTTCCTCTGAGCCTTTAAAGCCTAACATACCCTTTTTACAAAATAAGGTAAGACAGCAGGCTGAGAAGCCACCTGCCCTTTGGCAGAGCCTTAAGACGTGAGAGTTGGCTGGGTGCAGTGGCCCACACCTGTAACTCTAGCACTTTGGGAAGCCAAGGCAGGAAGATCACTTAAGGCCAGGAGTTGGAGACAAGCCTGGGCAATGTAGTAAGACCCTATCTCTTAAAAAAAAAAAAGACGGCCGGGCGCGGTGGCTCACGCCTGTAATCCCAGCACTTTGGGAGGCCGAGGCGGGCGGATCACGAGGTCAGGAGATCGAGACCATCCCGGCTAAAACGGTGAAACCCCGTCTCTACTAAAAATACAAAAAATTAGCCGGGCGTAGTGGCGGGCGCCTGTAGTCCCAGCTACTTGGGAGGCTGAGGCGGGAGAATGGCGTGAACCCGGGAGGCGGAGCTTGCAGTGAGCCGAGATCCCGCCACTGCACTCCAGCCTGGGCGACAGAGCGAGACTCCGTCTCAAAAAAAAAAAAAAAAAAAAAGACATTAGAGTGATCAAAAGTCCTGTCTTTTCTGAGCTTTCCAGGCCACACCCTCTCCCTTGCTTTTGTGAGGTGCTGACTCAGTGGGAATAGTACTCCTGGAGTATCAGTGAGATTTTCTTTTAAGGCTCTTCGATTTACCATGGCTCTCAAAGAACTCCAGAAGAAGAGCTTATCTATAAAGAAAAAAGAATTATTCTCTAACCTCAACTTAGGAATCAACTCCTACCCAGTTTAATTCAGAGCTGGCCATCTGCACCCAGCAGGTCAGAGTTCTCCCTGAGTGAGGAGTTATAGATGTTGACATTCTGTGGCATGTCACACTAGGAAAGAGCTATGGTACACAGTAACCCTTTTCTCCAGCTTCAGGAAAAACAGATTTTCATAATCAAGAAGCAAACAACCAAAAGCTCTCCTGTACAGTTACCCTTCCCTATCCCATCTTCACATCAGAAGCTCTTTGAAACAGTTAATCCTCTCCCAAGAAATTCATACAGAAATGTGTTTAGCCAAGACCTAAAGTTTTTTACACTGCTTTTAAAAGGTGATAATCTTATTTTAAAATAGATTTCAGTGTCACATATATGTCTCTTTACTTAAGAATCACTAATCAGAAGGTAAGCTGCAGTAACACCAGAGAAAAATTAAAGCAAGGCTTTGATGATGGCTTCTTTAATCACAGGAATGTTAGAGAAATGTTGCTGTCCCAATTCTAGTTCTGGTGATGCAATGAGGCCTTGTCAAGGTTCTGAGATTTTTAGATAACAACAACAAAATCCAGAGACTTCATGTTTTACTGAAAAACTTAAATTGCCAACAGTGGGAGTCTTAATGGAGGGTTCTAGTTTGTCTTTCAAAAGTAGCCACCCTCACAGCATACATACTGGTCTAGATGCCCAGCCACAAAGCAAGACCAACAGTGTTTGACCAAGGCTCTCCCATTGATCATTTCTTTTGATTGCCAGCCCCCAGGTGAAATGCTCATAATAAGCACTCAGTAGTTTCCCTTTCTGTAGAAATCAACAGCACCTGCTGAAGAAGAACAGCAGCACTTCTATTCATTCTTGAAAACAGGCGTTCACAAAAGTAACTTGTAGTGTTCCTTCTGGATTTAGGAGGATGTCACAAAATTGAGATCCTGCATAGTCATATTCCCACAGTTTACACTGCCCACTCGAGGGGGCAAATATCACATGTGCTTCCCAAATTTCCTCATAACTTTGCATTGTTGGCTGAGGATAGAAATTTTATAAAACTGCTGTTGACACCAAGCCAGGGATGACCAATGATTTTTCCTGTATAACCTTAGTTCTTTAAACCATAGCTCATTATCTAACTCACTTTTCCATGTAAGACAGTTAATTTCTCTTACAATTGCAAATTCTCATCTCAACTCTCTTTGGTTTCCACTCTTCACTAATTCTGAACATCTGAGTGGCAACACTCAGAATTAGTTTTGTCTCTCTAAGCTGTGAAGATTTAGCAGTTTGTGAAATCTGAATGTGAGATTTGGAATCTGTACTTCTTGTCTTGGTAATTGGTCACAGCCCTTTTTACAAATAATTTATTTGTAAAATGATGTTTATTCACTTAAAAGATGAAATAAGCAAGATAGCTACAATTACTGTGAAGCAATATGCAACAAAATATCATATGAATGATAACTAATTCAAGGCAACAATTCTGATTCAGCTCAAAGCTATTTTAGGACTCAGCATAAACACTACCAAAAGTTGCCAGCTCATGTTTTCTCTAGCTAACCAAGTCAGTGAGGCCAAATAAGCACTCTTTGCTACTTCCCTGTAGCTTTCTGCAAATTCACTGGTTTTAGGTATTAGGATTATACAATAAGCAGCAACATTTAATGTTATTTATCAATTATATTTAAGGTGCTTTGCTAGAGGCTAAACATACAGTATTATACTTAATCCTTACCGCAATTGTCTTAAGTTTGGTATTTTTTTCCAATGGGTTTTAAATTGTGCCTAGACTCATACAGCTAGTAAATTGCAAGTCCTAAGATTTGGATACAGGTCTGTGTAACTATAGAGCAGGATTTCTCTCCAGAGCACTGTTGACATTTGGGGCTGGATAATTGTTTTGGGGAGTTTTCCTGTGCACTGTAGAATGTTTATCAGCTTCCCTGGCCTCTATCCACTAGATTCCAGTGGCACCTTCTAGGTGTGATAACTAAAAATGTCCCCAGACATTGCCAAATGTTGGGGAGGGGTTGGGGTAAGGGGTGAAAATTGGACACAGTTGAGAACTACTGCTCTAGAACTAGGGATTTGACTGCATATTTATCTTTTTTTCATATGTATTATGCAAATTCTCCTCTTAAAGGTGGATTCCTAAAGTGTTTCATGTTTGTTTTTTCTAATTTGTTATTCTAAAATGTTAAATTATAATAACAACGTATGCTCATTATAGCAGATAATACTATAGAGTAACTATATATGAACAACAAATCTATATAGGAATGGTTAGTCTCTTAGTCTCTTCCTCTCATCTGTGCTCACCTTTTTGCTTATTTCCAGTTGGATAGCCTTGGCCAATTACTTTATTTTCCTCCTCAATTCAAATATATATTTCTGGCTGGGCTGTGTGGAGACCTCTTGCCTCTGCGGTGACTGTTTACTGGTAAGACTACAAGGAATAATTGGTGTCTGAAGTTCCAGAGGCGGTTAGGGGTCCTTCCCACAAGATTCTAACTCTGCCAGGCCTAGTTCATTGACCTCTGGGGAAGTGAGTCCAATTGCTCATCTTTGGCATTTGGATGGGAAATTTAGGTGAATGTTAGAAAAACCAACTCTAGTCTTGACTTGGGGTCTGATCAAGGACCTAACCAGATTTTGATGGCTCCTCTCTTTCTCGCAGTATCAGATACAAGGACACATTGCCAGCCATAAGTTGCTGAGGGTGGCAGAGGGGAAAAGGAGATCCTGCATGCCTTAACTCAAAAGGGACCATCAAGGTAACTTATTAGTCAGACGTTGGGAGTAAAAGAGCCCTGTGTCTGCGTTTTGGGTGCCCTGTGCCTACATAAATCCTAAAACCTCGGGTGGGTGGGGACCTAATAAGTCATCTTTCCATACCCTTCCCATCTCCAGCATCCAGTCCAAAGTACCGGGAGTCCCTTACCTGTTTGTCAAATGACTATCTGATGGAATGAATGGCTAATGAGTGAGGTAATTCCTGCCTGACCCTCTGACCGACTTTCTGTCAGCTCTCCAAGGGAGAGGCCAAAAGCCTTTCTCCTCGTACCCTCTTCCCTGGCACCTGCACTCCCGCGTCCCGCGGGCTCACCTTGTGCTGCTTCCACATGGCCCCCAGCGGCTTCACCTCGTGCTTGGCGTGCCGGCCCTCCTCCAGGCACAGATAACACACCGGGGTTCGACAGCTCACGCAGTACATGCTGTAGTTCTCCATTTCATGCTCGGGACACGTGGGGAACTTGCGGGCCGTGCTGCCCCCAGTCGCCCCCGCCCCCGCGCCTCCCGGGCTCTTGCAGCCGCCGCCTCCGCTGGGGGCGCCCTGGGCGGTGCCAGTGGGCCCGGAGGCTGCCTCGGCGGGCGGCGGCGGCGGCGGCGGCGGCTGCACCAGGCGATGCTTGGCGAAGGGTCCCCGGGATGGATGGCACTTGAGCTGGCAGGCAGAGCAGTAGAGGACGTCGCACTGCTCGCAGAGCGTGGCTGCTGGCTCTGGCGGGGTGCGGTCGCACAGCTGGCAGATGGCCACCGCCGCGGCTGCAGACGTCCCCGGCACGGCCCCGCGGCCCTGCTGGTACCGCTGCACGATGGCCTCGAGCAGCCGGTTGCGCTGGAAGCCGCGCAGGCCGCGGTGGTCCAGGGATGCGCTGCGGTGGCACTGCGGGCACGTGATGGAGCTCGAAGACGAGGACAGCGAGGAGCAGGCGGCACCCCGAGCCGCCGCAGCCGAGGAGCCGGGTGGTGCGGGCACCATGGGCAGCACGCGAACCCCGTTGGGGGACTTGAGGCTCGGGGTGTAGGACCCGTAGCCGCTGTCTGTCTCGCTGTACAAGCTGAGCTTGTCCGCGTGGTCTCCGCCACCTCCCGCACCGCCGCCGAGGCCGCCAGCTGCACTCCCGCCTGCACCGCCGCAGGCCGGGCCAGCCGCAGCGTCGTGCTCCAGAGAGGCAGCGGCGGCGGCGCCCGCCTGCAGCCCCGATCCCCGGGAAAGCAGGAGCGGCTGGGGCAGGTGCTGCTCACCGTCCGGGGTCTGCACCGCGATGGTGCGAGCGCAAGGCAGGCAGACATTGTGGGAACAGGGCAGGATGATAGGCTCCCGAAACAGAGAGCCGCACACGGGACACTTCAGCTCTTCCTCCATCGCGGCGCCGGCTGCCAGCGCTGCTCTGCGCTGGGGATGAATGGCCGGAGCTCGGGAGACTGGCGGAGGAGGACCAGCGCGGTGCGCCCCGGTGAGACGACGGGCGGGGGCATCACACGGGCATGCCCACTTCACAGCCGAGGGGCACGCCCCTCTCTCTGTCCTGTAGCCACCGCCCTAAGATGATTGAGGGGCGAGAGAAGGGAGGGGGTCCTCACCTCCTGCCCGAGGGTCCCGCACCAGCGGCTTCAACCTGCGGCCAGATTCCGGAGCCGGTCGGCTGCCCTCGCGGTGGCCTGCGAGGAGCTTTAGGTGATGAATCAGCACCAGCGCCGCCGCCGGCTGCAGCGCGCGCCTCCTCTCCACCCCAGGACCAGCGGCCGGGCTGCTGTGCGCTCGCTGCTTCAGCCCCTGGCTCCGGTGGGCGGCTACCCCGAGGCCCCCCTTCTGCCCCGGCCCAACTCCTTATCGGGGTGATAGCGAGGTGAGACAGGCAGGTGCGAAGGCCGCTCAGCCGTGGGGCTGGGATCAGCACCACGAGGCGGCGGACAGCGCCCGGGAGCCGAAGGTGGGGCTCCAGCTGCCTGCTCGCCGACCCCTGGGCCGCCACCCGCCGGGTCGCTGGGGCCGCGGCCACCTCGGCGGGACCCGACCGGCCCGGAGACAGCCGCTCACCCTACTCCTGGGCGGCTGTGGACGCCGGCTGACTGCGCCCTGGGGCTTTCTCCCTGCGGCCGGGATTGACCCGCTTCCCTGGTTCCCAGCTGCTGCTCCTGCGGCGCCTCTGACCTTGGGCCGCGCGACGCTGCAGCCGGCGGGCGGAGGGCGAGCGTCCGGCTGGCTCGGGAATCCCCTCCCCGCCTCCCTCCCGCCGCTGCCGCTGCCTCCCCGCGCGGCGCGCCGAGGAGTTGTAATTTCCAGAGCAGAGAGTAATGGGGAGGAGGGGGGAGGAGGCTTCAGCTCAGCGAATAAGGGCTCGCCTCTTGCTGCTAGGGAATCAAGGGGCAATTTTAAGGGTTTTGCAGGGAGGATCATTGTTAATAACAATCCATTATTTGGATGGAGATTGTATCTTGAATCAGTACAACGACCTGCCCCGCCCCGCCCCTGCCATCGTCTCCCTGGGCCACTCCAGTTCCACACCCCACCCCCAACCCACCGCCATAGAAGGGTGAAAACGGGATCCTAAAAAGCCAGTCGTTTAGAAATGGATAGGCAACATGGCCTGACAGTCGCTTCCTAAAACTACGATAAAGCAAAAAAATCCAAGTCCCAAAATGTCGGGCAGCCTGAAGTCCAAGGGTGAGGTTTTATTTATGAATTGAACCACAAGCCATTTTGTCTCTTCCTTTCAACCAAGGGTGCTCATCCGCGCTCCAGGTCAACTGTGTGCACGGACTGAGAGAGGACACGCGGTGCCGCTCACAAAATGGGGTTTCCTGAGAAAGGCGAGAGCGCGCCCGGGTAGACCCCTGGGAACCCAGCGCCCCCAGACCCAGCCCTACCCCGCTGCGGATGTGGCGGTGTGCGGCGGACGGGAAGGCGGCAAGCGGAGACGTTCCTTTTATGAATGGGAAAATCTCCACATTCTCCAACGCCAGCCACGAGCTGCGGGAACAGCCTCCCACCCGCGGCCCCGGCTGTTTGGTCTGCTCGGCTGTTCTTCCCCGCTGCTGCCGAGGGAAGGCTGGGTGGGGGAGGCAGAGGTGGGTGGGGACGAGCAGAAGAAAGTGCTGGCAGCGCAGCCGGCTCTGCCTACAGAAGTTTCACGCTGGCATGAAACAGATACAAATTAGGAAATCGTTTATTTAACAACGATATGAATATTGAAGTCATGCCTCCCTCCGTCCCAGGTTCTCCCGTGCTCCAAACAAAGACTAAAGACCGGAGTCGTAGCGCCAGGCGCGGGCCCAGGCTTCTGCTAGTCCCCGGGTGAGGAGGCGCAGGCTGGCGGGGTCAGGCAGGGGGAAGCTGCAGCCTGCGCCCAGGGCTTGGGGCTCTGTGCCTAGGGGACAGGAACCCCTGCAGGGGGACCCTTGGGGAGGCGCTTGGCGACGCGCTCCTGGCCGCAGCACGAAGGCCCAGAGCCTTGGAAGTCAGGACGCCCCGGGACCACTGGCCCCACTCAGCAGCTCGCTTAGGCTTTCCCTCGCTCGGATCCTGAAATGCCAAATGAATATTGTCATAATACTCATGTCTGAGAACTAAACGAGCTAGTTGCAAATACAGACGGCGTTTCCTACTTTCTGTTTTTGTTGTGGGGGCGGCGGTTGGAGTCTCTCTGGGTCGCCCAGGCTGGAGTGCAGTGGCGTGATCATAGCTCACTACAGCCTCGAACTCCTGGACTCAAGCAATCCTCCTACCTCAGCCTCCCAAGTAGCTGGGACTACAGGCCTGTGCCACCACGCCAGGCTCTGTTTTAAAATCCTATGAACCTTTAGTCCGGCTTTGCAGCTTGCTTCCAGTTTGTGCCAAAGTTGAAGAGTAGGCCAAGCTAAGGCCAGATAGAGCATCGCACAGCATTAAGAGACCTGACTCTACTTCCCCTCAGCTAGGGGACTTGGAACAATTATTTAACCAGGCATCAGTAGCCACAGATGGGAGATGGTAACAACCTTGTCCTCATCTGCCTTGTGTAGATAAAGCCACAATGAGCTGGATCCTGCCTGCAACTCTCAGATAAGCCTTCCAGAAATGTGCTATGGAATCTTCAGGGTCATGTCAGAAACGCAGTGTATGGGTAGGTCTGTAATTGAATGCACTTAAAGATGCATTTCTGTGACCCTAGCAAGTGCCATCATTTACGCCGGCTCAGCCCAGCCTCCTGGTGACCACAAGGGAAGTCATAACCTCTTATGGTTCTACTGTGAACAGGTCTGCCCCAAACCAGCAGCCATATGGCTGAAGTCCAGTCTCCTTTGTCATTTTCGGACCAAAACAAACTGCTTGGGGGTAGGGGTGGCCTCCTGGAGGGGTGTGTAACTCCTTTCCTGTACAGAAGGACTTACAGTTCAAGCACTCCTCCACTCAGACTGAGTGTAGTTTTGTTTTCCACGGGGAGGAGGTGATCTAGTACATCAGAATTCTACACCTATGCATTTCTCATGCACTCTTGTCACCTAAATAACAAAGAGACAGGCTCTCTAAAAGAAGAGAGGTTTATTTGGGAAAAAAGTACCGCAATGGAAAGATGCTTGCCATAGTAAACTCTGTGTGTATTCAGGGAGGTAACAGAAGACAGAGGTTTTTAAGGGAAAAAAATGAGGAAGATTGAATAATTGTTTTGAAATAATTACCCTTGGCTACAAATATCAATAACAGGGGTGATGCCAGCTCAAGGCTGGACAGGTAGTTGCTGGGCAGATGTCCTGATAGAAGTATTTTTTGGTGTAGGGTTATGATGGCCTCTCTGCAAGATTGTAGGTTTTGGAGTCTTTTGTAGTCATTTTTGTTACGAGGTATTTATGCACGAAAACTCTCCCTTCATGGCTCTGTCAGGGCTTTTTTTCTTTTTTTCTTTCTTTCTTTTTTTTTTTTTTTAACATTAGTGACTCCATTTGGATTCTGACAGCTTTCACTCTCAATCCCCACCACCTCAATTCTACAACATAAATCAGCTTATCCGTGCACTGTACTTTTGCTAAAACATTGTGCATTTGGGGGATTAGCATCCTACCACTCCTTTGTCTGAACTGAAGTTACAAAGCTGGCTTCAATGCTTCACTGTATATAATCATAATTGCTAACAATCGTCAACATTATTTATAAAAAGTCCTCTTTCTGTCTCAACTGTGCCATGAACCATATGCATATAGAGAAGTCATTTTAGTTCTCTGAACCTCTGTTTCTCCCTATTATAAACTTTGGGGATAAAATTCACTGAAATTTAAATTTCCTTCTGGGGCCGGGTGCGATGGCTCAAGCCTGTAATCCCAGCACTTTGGGAGGTCGAGGCGGCTGGATCACAAGGTCAGGAGTTCGAGACCAGCCTGACCAATATGGTGAAACCCTGTCTGTACTAAAAATACAGAAATTTGGCCAGGTGCAGTGGCTCACGCCTGTAATCCTAGCACTTTGAGAGGCCGAGGTGGGCAGATCAAGAGGTCAAGAGATCAAGACCATCCTGGCTAACACAGTGAAACCCCATCTCTACTAAAAATACAAAAAATTAGCCAGGTGTGGTGGCGGGCACCTGTAGTCCCAGCTACTCGGGAGGCTGAGACAGAAGAATGGTGTGAACCTAGGAGGTGGAGCTTGCAGTGAGCCAAGATCGCGCCACTGCACTCCACCCTGGGCGACAGAGGGAGACTCCGCCTCAAAAAACAAAACAAAACAAAACAAACAAACGAACAAAACACACAAAAATTATCCAGACATGGTGGCAGGTGCCTGTAGTCCCAGCTACTCAGGAGGCTGCGGCAGGAGAATTGCTCGAACCTGGGAGGTGGAGGTTGCAGTGAGGCAAGATGTTGCCACTGCACTCCAGCCTGGGCAACAGAGCAACACTCTGTCTCAGAAAAAAAAAAAATTCCTTCTGGTTCTACAGTCTCTGTGTATTAGCTGTTGTTGAGAATGACATATCCCTTGGCTGGATGTCGTGGCTCATGCCTGTAATCCAAGCACTCTGGAAGGCCGAGGCGGGTGGATCACTTGAGGTCAGGAGTTCAAGACCAGCTTGGCCAGCATGGCGAAACCCTGTCTCTACTAAAAATAGAAAAATTAGACAGGCATGGTGGCACAAGCTCCCAGCTACTTGGGAGGCGAAGGCACGAGAATTGCTTAACCCCAGGGGGCAGAGGTTGCAGTGAGCCAAGATTGTGCTACTGCACTCCAGCCTGGGTGACAGAGTGAGACCCTGTCTAAACAAAAAAAACAAAAAACGAATAACATAGTCCCCCCTTTAAAAAATGACACTCACAAAAAAATTTGATCCCCAAATTGAATGACATATCTATTTTTTTTCAAGTCCCTAATATATTATTAAAGGCTGGGCTGTGGGGTGGGTGAGGCAAGTAATAATATTTGCATTGTAACACTTAACAGTGTGGAATGAGAACCTTTTTTAATTTTCAGAACATCTCTGGGAATTAGGCATCACCACATTTCCTCAATTTTAATATGTATAAATGTTTACATTTTAATGTTGCTGAAATTAAAAAGTATACTACAATTGATACATACTTCTGCTCTCCCTACTGTTGCTTTGAAAATTTCCTATTAAATTGATGGTGCATCTTATCATCACTTGGCCTCATGGAAAGTACATTAGTAATTAAAACTCCACAATCTACTGCTATCAAGGCAGAGAAAAACAGACTCTGCCATGAGTTACTTTGGATAATGTACTGCAGGATGGTTTTTACACTTAAGTGTCCCAGAAACACTCAAGAGGCTGAGTAATGTAACCTCTCCTCAAAAAAAAAAAAAGCACAAATCAGTTAAATAATTTACTCCAGCTAACACAGCAAGTTAGAAGTAAATCATCTGCATTCCTTTCAGAATGCTTCGAATTTCAAGCATGAAGCAGAATGGAATTGAAGGCTTTATCAGCTAAAATCAGATGCTGTAATCTCAAGTGTAAGAATCTCTAAAACAAATTTTAAATGAAAGCTTATGATATTTTTTCTTTTAGTTTTTTGGGTTTTTTTTTTTAACAGTTTAGGGTGAATTCAGGAAATTCAATAGAAATCTACAGACCAGAAGCCATCTGGTCTAAAGTAGTTTGCATTTAACTCAAAGAAAGTGACCATATCCACATCTAGGCATAGTGTACCAAAGCGTCTCTGCAGCAAAGTTAATGAGGAACAATTATCACTAACAACATAAAGCACTCTCCCCAGGGTGTGTAATTGGCTTCTTTTCCAGAAAACAATTTCTATTGAGTAATCTTAAAATCTAGCCATTTTTCCCTTCAAACATCCTTGATTGGTGCTTAACAACCTTGTTTTAATTTCTGAATACCAAATGATGACCACCCCCTTCTAATTCCGAGACTCATCTTCTGTACGGATCAGGTGATCTGGTCTTAGAAAGCCTGCTTTTGCCTCACTGCATCTTTTGCAAGCAAAAGAGTTTAGAATCAAATCCCAGATGAAGAAAATTGATTTCAATTTAGAGGATTCTTTATATACCCAGGGTATCTTTGTAATGCATGAAAACTAATACTATTACCACAAAAGCAATTTTTGGCACTTCCCTCTGGTTACATATTTCAGCTATAAGAATTGCAGTAGTACTGTACACTTTCATGACACCCCTTCACATATTTTATTTTATTTATTTCAGACAAGGTCTCGCTTCATCGCCAAGGCTGGAGTGCAGTGTTGTGATTATGGCTCACTGCAGCCTTGAACTCTTGGGCTCAAAGGATCTTCCTGTCTCAGCCTCTAGAGTAGCTAGGACTACAGGTGCATGCCAGCATACACAGCCAATTTTTCTTTTTTTAAACATGTTTTGTAGAGATGGGGTCTTACTACATTGCTGAGGCTGGTCTTGAATTCCTGGCCTCAAGCAATCCTCCCACCTTGACCTCCTAAAGTGCTGGGATCATAGATGTGAGCCACTGTGCCTGGCCCCATTATTTAATTTAATCCTCACAGCAACGTGGGTTGGCCTGGGAGATGATGAAAATGAAGAAAGGACCCTGACCCACATAGTAGGTTTCTACTAGCCGTGCTAATACAACTTGATCCCAAATCTAGGCACAATTGTTTAGTTCATGGGTGGGCAACTGACTAGGCTGAGCCAGTCAGAATCTTTTCTTCCTGAAATGTAGAATTGGAAACCAGAGAAAGAATCTGGATGGGCCTCTAATACAGATGTTAAGGAACTGTTGTGGTCCTGAAAAAGAAAAAAAAAAAGAAAAAGAAAAAGAAACAGAGAGTGAAGAATAAAGCAGAAAAGCAGAAAAAGAAGAGAAGACCCCTCCTGAGGTCTCACAACAGCTCATGTTTCTGAGACTTGGCAACATTCATGAATAAAACTCCCTTCTACCCTCAGGAAAAATGTAATTTCCCTTCCTTATTTTTCTTCCTTTCTTTCTCTCTTTCTTCGCCCCCCCCCAACCCCCCCACCCTTCCACCCTCTTTCTATTCCAAAACTAGCTGGGGAGATGAGGGGGTACTTCAGAAGGATAAGATTGGTTAACCCATTGGCCTATTCAAACAATTAGGGGAACACCCTTATTTAGTTTGACACTTTAGTCACCTCTGTTGGGACATTGAAATATTTCTTCTCCCCAGCTTCTCTTTATTGAATTCTGACCTTGACTCTTTATTGGTTTTGCCCTTGTCATTCTCGGATGCTATTTTCTCCTCATAGCTTGACCATTTCAGTCCATTAAGCTCCGTTTGCTCTCATCCTAACCACCCACTCTAATGAGCCATTTGCTTCCCTTCCTTGGGCTCCTGCTTCCTCTCCCTGACCACAGCGAGAGCCATGGCTCCATGATGCCTTTGTTCTCTCCACTCAATATTCTCTTGAACAGGAAATCAATGTTAGATTGCACTTGATGGTGCATGTAACTCCAACGGCCTCTCATATTAAGACAAAGAGCAAAAACCCTCGAGGTTTGTAAACTGTGGAGTGCTATACTGGGGATAACAAGTTACTTGTTACTTGGTGAGTATAAGAGAGATCAGAGCACAAGTTGTGGAACAGGGCATGAAAAGTGCTTTCAAACTCTGATAGCCTTATTCAGCCATTTCCTCTGTAAGGCTCTACCACCAGGGAAAAAATGCTCATGCCACAAGACAGGGCACCTTTCACATGGCAACGTGCTATAAACCACTGAGAACCATGTCACCATTCAATTCACTAGGCTGCAGTGTTACTTATAATGTGGAAATTACTATTCAAGTGCAATGACTGCAGTTTCCTAACAGCAACCAGCAACCACATTTGACTGATTTCTACATAAGCAGCCCTTAGGTTTGGTAGCAACTTGACAGACCTCCTGAGTTCTGCATGGCGGTTGGGAGTGTTGGCTTGGAAGCCAGACCACATAGGTTAGAATCCTGGCTCTACTGCTTACTAGCTGAGAAAACTTTGGCAAGATGCTTCACCTCTCAGCCACTTGAATTTCTCATCTGTAAAACTGAGATAATAAAGGTACATACCTTAAAGAGCTGGGACTACCCAATAAAATAACACACGTAAAACATTTAGAAAAGTCAATGTATAGTGCTCAACAAACATTAGATGTTGTTACTTTTTAAATTTTCTGCCCCTTGGCCTCATAATACAGGACATGGTTACCGTTGAATGGCTGATTCTCAACAGATACTTGTGAATAGGTGAACTGCAAGCAGACTGTTTTGGCTGGAGTGTCAGGCTGTATTTGAGAATAGTGGAGAGAGTGAGCCGCTTGTCTTTTGTGATTGAGAAGGGAAGATGGAAGAGCTATCAGAACCATCTATCAGGAAATGGCTGTAATATCTAGAAAAAACACAATCTCTGCTCTAGAGGAGCTTAATGTTTAAAGCAATGATCATGGCTAGAGGCAAAATAATGGAAATAATGAAGCTTGCAAAAAACAGAGAGCAAGCTTTTTTTTTTAAAAAAAGCAAAGGAAACAAAGAGATACATTTAAATATTTATGCTGTCTATAGATTAAGGGTTAAGAACATTGATTTTAAAGCCTTTAGTGAAAGAATGCCAGATAAAGACATTATGACCTAGTAGTACTTGCACATAATTTATATAAGGTAACTGGATAATATTTTGATATATTAATCAAAATAGTTTCAATTTTTAAAAATAATTTCTTATTGTCATAGTAGAACCAGAGAGAAAGAAGAGAGTCAAGTCTTGAAAAGCTACAAGCTTCATAGAGGACCTGAAGTGGCTATACAACGTGTTCAGACAGGCAGGCCAGGGCAGCCCAGCTGGGTCCCTATACTCCCTACAAGTGCACCAGAAGCACCTGAATGTTTTCTTCTGTGTCTCAGACCTAGCCCAGAAAATTGGCAAACCTACAGCAGCCTTTTAGTCAGAGTCTATAAGAGCCATATGCCCAGAAGCCAGACTGAAAAACAGCTATCTCAGCAGAAGTCAGTGTGTATGAGGATGACAGTGACAGTGATAGGAACCTAGATAGGTACCTAGATACGAACCTAGATACTTAGTCCACCTACACAGACACATGCTGTCACAACAGAAAACACTCCAGAACTGAGGTTTACTGCAGGGAGGTGAGGAGGGAGGGCTGAGGGTTTGCCTGGAAATCACCCAGACACTCAATTGGCTGTTAATATATTTCCATCATCTAGCAGAATGGTGGCTGAAATAGAAGCTAAATTCACCTGTAGAGACAATAAGAAAGTTACGGTTCTTATAACCCTAAGTTTGTGGGATGAGATTCGTGCTTGATTTGTATCTTTCATTATTTAATCATCACAACAGACCTGTAAAGTGGGATTATGATAATCTCACTTTATAAATGAGAATGTAAGAGATGGAAAAGAATAACTGCTCAAGTGTGTTGGGCCATTAATTGGTGAGACAGAAAATTTTCTGATGGGAATGCAAATTGGAACAGTCACTTTGGAAAACAGTTTGACAGTTTCTCATAAGTTCAACACAAACATCATAGAATCCAGCAATTTCACAGTTACATATTTACTTAGATATCCACACCAAAGACTTTTATGTAAATGCTCAGAGTATTTATTTATAATTGCCAACAATTGGAAATAATTCAAGTATACATCAACTGGTGAATAAACAAATTATAATAATACAATGAAATATTACTCCACAATAAAAGAATGAACTACAGACACATTGATATAGTTTAGATAATTGTCCCAGCCCAAATCTCATGTTGAATTGTAATCCCCATTGCTGGAGGTGAGGCCTGGGGGTGGTATCTGGATCATGGGGACAGATTCCTCATGGCTTGGTGCTGTCTTTGTGATCATGAGTTCTCACAAGATCTGGTCATTTAAGAGTGTGTCGCACCTCCCCTTTCCCCACACACACCCTCTCTCTTTCTCTTTCCCTCTATCTCTCTTTCTTTCTCTTTCCCTCTCTCTCTCTTTCTCTCACACATGAGCACATGTGCTTGCTCCTGATTTTGCCTTGTGATATGCCTGCTCCCACTTCACCTTCTGCCATGATTCAAAGCTCACTGAGGCTTCACCAGAAGCCAAGCAGATGCCAGCACCATGCCTCCTATAAAGCCTGCAGAACTATGAGCTAACTAAACCTCTTTTATTTATAAATAACCCAGTCTCAAGTATTTCTTTATAACAATGCTAGAATGACCCGATACAGAAAATTGGTACTGAGGAGTGGGACAATGCTATAAACATACATAAAAATGTGGAAGCAACTTTGGAACTGGATAGCAGGCAGAGGTTGGAAGAGTTTGGAGGGCTCAGAAGAAGACAGGCAGATAAGAAAAGCTTGGAATTTCCTACAGACTAATTAACTAGTTGTAACCAAAATGCCGGTAGTGATATCGACAGTGAAGTCCAGGTCAATGAGGTCTCAGATGGAAATGAGGAACTTATTGGGAACTGGGGTAAAGGCCCCCCTTGTTATGCCTTAGCAAAGAGCTTGGCTGCATTATGTTTATGCCCTAGGGACCTGTGGAAGGTTGAGCTTCAGAGTGATGATTTAGGGTAACTGGTGGAAGAAATTGCTAAGCAGCAAAGCATTCAAGAGTTTGCCTGGCTGCTTCTAATAGCTTAGGCTCAGACGTGGGAGCAAAGAAATGACTTAAAGTTGGAATTTATATTTAAACAGGAAGCAGAGCATAAAAGTTTGGAAAATTTGTAGCTTAGCCACGTGGCAAAGAAAGAAAAGACTTTTCTGGGGAGGGGAATACAGGCAGGCCATGGAACAAACACTTTTTAGAAATATTTGCATAACTAAAAAGGAGCCAAGTGTTAATATCCAAGACAATGGGAAAAAAGCCTGGAAGGCATTTCAGAGATCTAATGGGAAGCCCCTCCCAGGCCCAGAGGCCTGTAAGGGAAGAATGATTTCATGGGCCAGACTCAGGGCCCTGCTTCTCTAAGAAGCCTGAGGACACTGCTTCCCTCCTCCCTGCCACTCCAGCTCCATCCAGGGCTCAAAGGGGCAGGGGCCTGTGTACAGCTCAAACTGCCACTTTGGAGAATGCAAACTATAAGCTTTGGTGACTTCCACATGGTGTTAAGCCTGCAGTTGCACAGAATGCAGGAGTTAAGGAGGCTTGGCAGCCTCCACCTAGATTCCAGGGGATACATGAAAAAGCCTGGGTGCCCAGGCAGAAACCTGCTGCAAGGGTGGAGCCCCCACAGAGAACCTCTACTAGGGCAGTGCAGACAGGAAATGTGAGGTTGGAACTCCCCCAACAGAGTCTCCCCCAGGGTACTGCTTAGTGGAGCTGTGAGAAGGGTGCCACCATCCTCAAGACCCCAGAATGGTAGATCCACTGGCAGCTTGCACCCTGCACCTGGAAAAGCTCCAGGCACTGAACAGCCTGTGAGAGCAGCCACAGGGACTGAACCTTGCAAAACCACAGGGACAGAGCTGCCCAAGATCTTGGGAGCCCACCCCTTGTACCAGTGTGAGACATGGATGTGAGACATGGAGTCAAAGGAGATTATTTTGGAGCTTTAAGATTTCATGACTGCCCTTCTGGGTTTCGAACTTGTGTGGGGCCTGTAGCCTCTTTCTTCTGGCCAATATCTCCCTTTTGGAATGTTTACTTAATGCCTGTACCCCCATTGTATCTTCAAAGTAACGAATTTGGTTTTGATTTTACAGGCGTATAGGTGGAAGGGACTTGCCTTGCTTCAGATGAGACTTTGGAATTTGGACTTTTGACTTTTGAATTCATGCTAAATGACTTAAGACTTAGGGAGGCTATTGGGAAGTCATGATTGTATTCTGCATTGTGAGAGGGACATGAGATTTGGGAGGTGGCAGGGATGGAATGATATAGTTTGGATATTTGTCCCCACCCAAATCTCACATTGAATTGTAATCCCCAGTGCTAGAGATGGGGCCTAGTGGGATGTGTTTGGGTCATGGGGGGGACCCTCATGGCTTGGTGCTGTCTTCATGATAGTGAGTTCTTGAGAGATCTGGTCATTTAAAAGTGTGTGGCACCTCCCCAGCCCCTGACCCAACTCTCTTTTGCTTCTGCTCTCACCATGTGAAGTGCCTTCTCCCACTTTGCCTTCTGCCACAAGTACAAGCTTCCTGAGGCCTCCCCAGAAGCAGATGCTGACACTGTTTCCTGTACACTCTGCAGAACTGTGCACCAATTAAACCTCTTTTCTTTTTTTGAGACACTTTGTCACCCAGGCTGGAGTGCAGTGGCACAAACATGGCTCACTGCAGCCTCGACCTCTCAGGCTCAAGCAATCCTCTCACCTTAGCCCACCAAGCAGCTGGGACTATAAATGCACACCAGCACTCCTGGCTAATTTTTGCGTTTTTTGTAGAGAAGGGGTTTTGCCATGTTGGCAAGGCTGGTCTTGAACTCCAGATCTCAAGCAATCTGCCCACTTAAGCCTCCCTAAGTGCTGTGATTACAGGCGTGAGTCACTGTGCCTGGCCAAACCTCTTTTCTTATAAATTACCCAGTCTCAGGTATTTCTTTATAGCAATGCAAGAATAGCCTAACACACAATGCAATGACACAGATGAATCTCAGATGCATTATGTGAAGTGAAAGAAATCAGACACAAAAGGTTACATACACTGTGTTCCACTTATATAGAGTCTAGAAAAGGCAGAAAGGGATAGAAACAGAAAATAGGTAGGTAGCTTAGGGACCACGGATTGAGGGAGAGAACTGATTGCCATCACTCCAAAAGTTCCCTTGTGCCCCTCAAGGAAACTTGTGGAGTGATAGCAATGCTTTATATTTGATTGAGAGAGTGGTTGCACAACCTAATAAATTTGTTAAAACTCATTGAGCTAGCCACTTAAAAGTGGTGAACTTATTTTATGTAATAAAATATTGAATATTATTTATAAGTTATTTTACACCTGTATTCATTTGTTTTGCTATGTAACAAATCATCATACATTTAGCAGCTTAAAATACTCAGTGAGCTCACAGATCTGTCTGTCAAAAGCCTGGTAGGCTGTTGCTGGGCTCTGGGTTCAGGGTATTACAAGGCTGAAACCAAGGTGTTGATCAGGTGGTGTTCTTGTCTGGATCAGCTCTCAGTTCCCAGAGGCTACCTATATTCCTTACCACATGGCCCTCTTCATTTTCCATCCAGCAATGACACATTGAATCCTTCTTGGACTTTGACTCTCTGACTTCTTCTGCAACTAGCCAGAGAAAACCCCCAGCCTTGAAAGGCTGCTGTGATATGGTCAGGCCCACCTGGAAAATCTCCCTATCTTGCGGTCAACTGAGCCATACAACACCACCTCATTATGAGCGTAAAATCCATCATATACACAGGCCTGGGATTAGGCAGGGAATATACAGGAAGTAGTGAGCAGAAATTCTTGGTGCCATCTTAGAAGAATTCTGCCTGCCACAATATCTGCAGAAATCTTCCTTTAGAAATTAAATTTCATGTAATTATACATCGAAAATGATACCTTTTTGAAAAAGATAAAATTACTGTTATGCGAATGTTAACAGTGAGAGTATGTTCTAAAAAAAGTGTTGTTGGGTGATTTTTGTCTTTGTGCAAATATCATAAAGTGTAGTTACACAATTCTTGAGGTATAGCCTACTACTCCCCTAGGCTACATATAGCCTATGCTCCCAGGCTACAAACCTGTACAGCATGTTACTATACTGAATACTGTAGGTGACTGTAGCACAACGGTAAGTATTTGTGTATCTAAACATACCTAACCATAGAAAAGGCACAGTTAAAACATGGTTTTACAATTTCATGAGATCCCCATTGTATATGTGGTCTGTCATTGACTGAGATCTCATTATGTGGTACATGACTGTATTTAAATTTGGGGTTGTCCCAGAAAATCTGGGATATATTGTTGCCATATGATCCAGTTACTTTCCTGCTACTTATGTTAGGATAGGACAGAGGGGGACTAGGCTAGCATGTTTTGAATGCTTACCCATGTGCCAGAAAAATGCTAGACATTTTACATACATAAAGCATCAAATGGCCTCTGATTCAAAGGAAATGGTGGGGGTGGAAGTAGAGGGGTGGGAGATAGACATAATTTCCAGTGCACAGTGTTGGAGAATGTCAGAATGCAAAGCTGGGTCATTCTCGGATTCTGTCCCCAATAAGGCAAAGAGGAAAACCAAAAATGGGGGGGTTATAGTGATGAATCCATAACTAGTCTCCATTTAGGTGTCTGGGGCAGAGCTTCTCAACCATAGTGTCGCTGGACAAACCTCTTCTGTCTACCCCTACAAGCTGTACCAGTGTCATCATTTTTAAGATACACTATCAGGTAAAACATTGCACAAAGCACTAGTCTGAGGTATAAGACATAGCTCCTGTAGACATGAGAAAGAATGCAAAGGACCGAAGCAGGACAGAAGCGTGCCTCATGGGAGATGGTTCTGGGGTGGGAATTTGTCCTGCAGTCTTATCGAAGTGCTTGGCGTATGCTTTCTATGCTATAAGGCAGTAGATAGGATCTAGGAGTTGGAGGACCCAGGGCTTTGATAGGCTCCCCCACTGCAGACCACAGAAGAAGGAACTGGGCAGAGATTGTGCCAAGACCATGGAGCAGGTTGAAGGGTGAGTTGCCTGCTGCCTGGCTCAACTGTTCCCAAGGCCCCCATGAGCGTCAACCTACCCAGTGGGCTTTGAGCTAAGCTCAGTCAAGGCGAGGCTCTATGGTGGAGAGGGTGGATTCTGAACTGTGACATGCCTGGGATTCTTTCCCAATTCTACCACATACCAGCTTTGAACCTCCAGGCAAATTTATAAAACCTGTCTGAGTCTCAGTGTCCACATCTATAAAATGAGACTGCTGGTCATGTTTCCCTCAAATGGTTGCTATGACCATGACAGGAAGTTGCTGCCCGGAACAATAGATGGTGTGAGGTGGTGTTTTGAGAGCTCCCAGCTAAACTGGGCTTCTGGTCCCAGAGCAACTAGCAATCTGCCCTAACAGGAAATGAAAGGGAGCTGAACATGGGTATTTACCATGTGCCTTTCAAGGGATACTTCTTTTACCTGGTGGATAGCCTAATGCCTAGTTCAACCTGCAACCAGGGGGGTCCCTCACTTGGGGAACTTGTTTATACTGGCAGATGCCCTTGTGGTTCTTGTCTGAACTGTGTCTAGTTTATGCCTGACTATTGCCCTCATGCTGGGAGCCTGACCCTGTGTTCTCCCAGTGTCCCAGAGAAAACCCAGCCGGGGACAGCCCCTGGTTCTTCAGATGGAAGGCATAAAGTCAACACACCATCACAATAGGAAACAAGTTCAAACATTTTCCTGGGCAGGAAGAGCACAATGATCAGGAGGGCAGCCTCCATCCCTGGGTCAGGAGAGGCAGGAATGAAGAGTCAGGTAGAAAGAGAGAAAGAGACGGTGGGCAGGGTGAGGGGAGAGCATGGCAACTAGCACCATATGTAAAGGAATAGGGTCTGGGTCACGTCAAGTTCCTGGGAAAATGCCTGAATGGTCCATTTGATCCCTGACCCAGGGATGGAGGCTGCCCTCCTGATCATTGTGCTCTTCCCGCCCAGGAAAATGTTTGAACTTGTTTCCTATTGTGATGGTGTATTGACTTTATGCCTTCCATCTGAAGAACCAGGGGCTGTCCCTGGCCAGGTTTTCTCTGGGACACTGGGAGAACACAAGGTTCTCCTTAAAGGAAGCGGTGGGAAAGTGAGGAGCCCAGTCTGGCTAGGTGGGAGAGATGCCTCTGAATTCTTATTTGTGGCCACTGCTTAAGCCATTTTGGTGTGGTGTTCTCCTTCTAACACCTGGGCAGCAACCTTTGCTGTGTAGAGAGCTTAAATACACCTGGTGGAGAGTCTGGCTTTATTGTGGCCTTGGGACATGGAACCCACGGCAGACAGGGGAGACCGCATCACTGTCTTCTGCTGCACTGCCCCAGTCTTTGTATCTGGACTTGGGCCCCAGTCTCTAATTCTCTGTCCACCTCTTTTGTTTTGTAGTTTGTTTTTTATTTTTTTAAATTGGCAAATAAAAATTTCATATATTTATGGTATAAATATACACATGATGTTTTGATATATGTATACAATGTAGAATAACTGAATAAAGCTAATTAACATACCTATTCCATCACATACTTATCCTTTTTTGTAGCAAAAACATGTAATATGTACTCTCTTAGCAATTTTCAAGTACATAATATATTGTTATTAACTATAATCACCAGGTTGTATAAAAGACCCTTGAACTTATTCCTTCTATCTAACTGAAATTTTGTATTTTTACACCAGTATCTCCCCAAACTCCCCTCCCCCAGCTCCTGGCAAGCACCATTTACTCTCTGCTTTTGAATTTGACTTTTTTAGATTCCACATATAAATGATATCGTGCAATATTTGTCTTTCTGTGCCTGGCTTATTTCACTTAGCATAATGTCCTCCATGTTTATCCATGTTTTTGAAAATGACAGAATTTCCTTCTTTTTAAAAGTTGAATAGTATTCCATTATGTATATGTACAACATTTTCTTTATCCATTGATAGACACTTGGGTTGATTTTGTAATTTGGCTATTGTGAATAATGCCGTAATAAACATGAGAGTGCAGCTATCTCTTCAACATAATAATTTCATTTGCTTTGGATATATACCCAGAAGTGGGATTGCTGGATACGGTAGTTCCATTTTTAGTTGTTTGAGGAACCTCCGTGAAGTTTTCCATAATGGCTGTACTAATTCACATTCACACCAACAGTGTGCAAGCATTCCCTTTTCTCCACATTTTCAACATATCATGTTATTTCTTATCTTTTTGCTAATAGCCAATCGAAAAGGTGTAAGATGATATCTTTTTAGTTTTAATTTGTATTTTCCTGACGATTAGCGACACTGAACATTTTCATATGCCTATTGGCCACTTGAATGTCTTTTTTTTCTTGTACTTGGTGTTTTTATTTATTTATTTTTAATTTAAAAATTTTAGTTGACATATAATTGTACATATTTATAAGATGCAGTATGTTATTTTGATACCTGTGTACAATGTGTAATAAATGAAAGTAATTAGCAAATCCATCAACTCGGACATTTACCATTTCCTTGTGTTGGGAACATTCAAAATCCTCTCTTCTAGCTATTTGCAAATATGCAATAAATTGTTATTAACTATAGTCATTCTCTGGTGCTATAGAACACTAGAACTTATTCCTCCTACCTGGCCTGTAATTTTGTAATCGTTAACCAACCTCTCCCTGTTCCCTCTCCCCTCTCCCCTTTCCAGCCTTAATAATCACTATTCTACTTTCTATTTCTATGATATCAACTTTTTTTTGCTTCCACATATGAATGAGAACATGCAGGATTTATCTTTGTGTGTCTGGTTTATTTCCATTTCCAGTATTCCATTGTGTATATGTACTACAGTTTCTTTATTCATTCATCTGTAGATGGACACAGGTTGATTCTATATCTTGGCTGTTGTGTATAGTGCTGCAATAAACATGGAAGTGCAGATATTTCTTTTTTCTTTTCTTCTTTTTTTTGAGACAGAGTTTCACTCTTGTTGCCCAGGCTGGAGTGCAATGGCATGATCTTGGCTCACTGCAACCTCCGCCTCCCGGGTTCAAGCGATTCTCCTGCCTCAGCCTCTCTAGTAGATGGGATTACAGGGATGTGCCACCATGCCCGGCTAACTTTGTATTTTTAATAGAGATGGGGTTTCTCCATTTTGGTCAGGCTAGTCTCGAACTCCCGACCTCAGGTGATCTGCCCGCCTCGGCCTCCCAAAGTGCTAGGATTACAGGCATGAGCCACCACGCCCGGCCGTGGAAGTGCAGATATTTCTTTAGCATACTGATTTCATTTCCTTTGAATATATGCTCAGAGTGTGGCTGGATCATATGGTAGTTCTATTTTTAGTTTAGTTTAGTTTTTTTTTTTTTTTTAAATGGGGCTTGCAATGTTGCCTAGATGGATCTTCAGCTTCTGGCCTCAAGCAATCCTCCTGCCTCAGGCTTCCAAAGTGCTAGGATTACAGGTGTGAACCACTGTACCTGGCTATTTCTAGTTTTTTGAGGAATCTCTACACTGTTTTCCATAATGGCTGTGCTAGTTTACAGTCCCACCAACAGTGCATAAGAGTTTCCTTTTCTGCATACCCTTGCTAACATTTGTTATTTTTTTGACTTTTTGATAATAGTCATTATAACTGGAGTAAGATGATATCTCATTGTGGTTTTGATTTGCATTTCCTTGATGATTGTAATGTTTGGCATTTTTTCATATACTTGTTGGCCATATATATGTTTTCTTTTGACAGAAGTCTATTCAGATCATTTGCCCATTTACAATGAGGTTATTATTATTATTATATTTTGCTATTGAGTTGTTTGAGTTCCTTATATATTTTGGATATTAACCCTTCATCAAATATGTGGTTCACAAATATTTTCTCTCATTCTGTAGGCTGTCTCTTCACTCTGTTGATTATTTCCTTTGCTATGCTGAAGTTTTTTAGTTTAATGCAGTCCCATTTGTCTATGTTTGCTTTTCTTGCCTGTGCTTTTGGGGTCATATCCAGAAAAATATTTGCCCAGGCCAATGATAAGAAGCTTTTCCCAATATTTTCTTCTAGTAGTTTTACAGTTTCAAGTCTTATATTTAAGTCTTTATTCCATTTTGAGTTGATTTTTGTATATGGGGTGAGATAAGAGTCTAGTTTTATTCCTCTGCATGTGGATATCAGGTTTTCCCAACACTATTTATTGAAAGCACTGTCCTTTCTCCATTGTGTGTTCTTGGTACCTTTCTCAAAGATCAGTTGACTGTAAACGCATAGATTTATTTCTGGGTCCTCTATTCCTTTGGTCTACATGTCTGTATTTGTACTAGTACCATTCTTTTTTTGGATACTATATCATTGCAGTAGATTTTGAGAGCAGATAGTGTGATGCCTCCAGCTTTGTTCTTTTTGATAAAGATTGCTTTCTTTGGCTATTTGGGATCATTTGTGATTCCACATGAATTTTAGAATTTTTTTCTATTTCTGTGAAAAATGGCATTTTGATAAGAATTGTATTGAATCTGTAGATCACTTTGGGACATTATAATGACATTAATTCTTCCAATCCATGAACATGGGATATCTTTCCATTTGTTTGTGTCTTCATAGTTTTCAGTGTATAATTTTTTTATGCCTTTGGTTAAATTTATTCTAAATATTTTAATTTTTGATGCTATAGTAAATGGGATTTTTTTCTTGGTATGTTTTTCAGGTAGTTGATTATTGTGTATAAAAATGCTACTAATTTTTGTATGTTGATTTTGTATCCTGCAATTTTACTGAATTTGTTTATTAGTTCTAACAGTTTTTTGGTGAAGTCTTTAAGATTTTCTATATATAAAGTCACGTTGTCTGCAAACAGAGATAATTTCACTTCTTCCTTTCCAATTTGGATGCCTTTTATTTCTTTTTCTTGTCTAACTGCTCTGGCTAGGACTTTCAGTACAGTGTTGAATAGAGGTAGTGAGAATGGACATTTTTGTCTTGTTCCTGAATTTACAGGAGAAGCTTTCAAATTTTCACCATTGATAATGATGCTAGCTATAGGCTCCGTTCAGCTCTTGCTTGTCCCTTTTCCTCTTCCTCTGGGGTTGGACCCCATCCCCTGTCCATGTGGCTGATAGCTAGTGTCCTTTTCCCAATAAGACTGTCACTCAGATCCACAAGGATGCTGCATCTTGACCTTGGCTTCATCAACCGGTTTGGATCCCTCAGTTCTAGGGCTGGACTTTTCCATACCCATTGGGATCCTAAGCCACTCTGCATGTGATTGTACTTTTGGAAGCCTTTTCTACATAGGGTTAGCTTGGCCCTGGTTTCTTTCCCTCCTTCTCCATCCTGCACTGCCAGATCTCAGAATGGTTTAGCCTGAGTTCTGAGAGCTGAAGGTTGAGAAGCAAGGGGAGGCAACACCAACATGCATAAGGACCTATAGGTTTCCTCCTCACTCGGGAGAGACAGTGCAGGGAAGGTACACTGGGTGGTGAAGAAGGGAGGGAAGAGGCTTCTCAGGAGAGGGCAAGAAGGGGAAGCACATTCAAGGTGGAGAGCTTAGCCCAGGTACATTGAAGGACAGGGAAACACTCTGTCTGGCTGGAGGGAAGGGTGGGGTTGGGTAAAGAACCCACCTGGGGAAGCCACTATGACTTGAATCCCATTTTTCTTCCCCAAAGCTGCCATGTCCCTAGTCACTGTTTTGCTAAGACATATTCCTTCCCCTAGGTTTTCCCATATCAGAAAGTGGCACCATCTACTACCCAGTTGCTTAAGTAAAATGCCCAGCACTTACCTTGGATGTCTCACTCTTCCCTTGTGTCCCAATTCACCACCAAGTCCTATTGGTTCTACTTGAGTTGATTTCTAATCAGTCCAATTCCACCCTCACCCTTCTAGTCCAGGTTATCATCCTCTTTCCCCTGCACAATCCCAATGCTCTCTTTTGCTAATCTTCCCTTTTTAACTGTTACCCCCTTAATCCATTCTCCATTCGGCAGCTATAGTACATTTTTACAATTTTAAATTCTTTTTTATAATTAATTTTTGTTTATATTTGACACATACCAATTGTACATTTTATAGGGTACAGTGTGATATTTCAATGCATGAATATGTTGTATAATGATCAGATTGGGGTAATTACCATATTATTCACTTTAATCTCTTATCATTTCTTTGTAGTGACAACATTTAAAATCTTATCCTCTAGCTATCTTGAGATACACACTACTTTGTTACTTGCTGTAGTCACTAGTCATCATACCGTGTAATAGAACCCCAGAGCTTATTCTTCCATCTAACTCTAACTCTACACCTGTTGATCAACTACTCCCAGTCCCCTTCTCCCTGCGACCCTCCCCAGCCTCTAGGAACCACTATTCCACTCTCTACTTCTATGAAATAAACAGTTTTTGATTCCACATATGAGTGAAATCATGTAGTGTTTGTCATTCTGTGCCTGGCTTATTTCACTCAACATAATGGCTTCCAGTTCCATCCATGTTGCTGCAAATGACAGGATTTCATTCTGTTTTATGGCTGAATAGTATTGTGTGTGCATATATATATACATTTTTCTTTATCTATTCATTTTCTTCTGCACTTTCTTTACCTATTCGTCTCTTCATCTGCTCATCTTTTCTTTTTTTTTTTTTTTTTGAGATGGAGTCTTGCTCTATCACCCAGGCTGGAGTGCAGTGGCATAATTTCGGCTCACTGCAAGCTCTGCCTCCCGAGTTCAAGCAGTTCTCCTGCCTCAGCCTTCTGAGTAGCTGGGATTACAGGCGTGCGCCACCACACCCAGTTAATTTTTGTATTTTTAGTACAGATGGGGTTTCACCATGTTGGCCAGGCTGTTCTCGAACTCCTGACCTCATGATCCACCCGTCTCGGCCTCCCAAAGTGCTGGGATTACAGGCGTGAGCCACCATGCCCGGCCCATCTGTTCATCTTATCTATTCATCTGTTCTTCTTTTATTCATACCATATTTTCTTTATTCATCTGATGGACAGTTAGGTTGATTCCCATCTCTTGGCTATGGTGAATAATGCTGCAAAAAACACGAAGGTACAGACGTCTCTTTGAAGTGCTGATTTCATTTCCTTTGGATATATACCCAGTAATGGGATTCCTGGATCTACAGTGATTTAAAATACACACACATACACACACACACACACACACACACACACACACACACACACAAAACTATCCTTCTTAATCACTGCTTCAATTTCTTCGATTGCTTCCCCTTGATCTTCTAACAAACAGCTTCCTACCAGGGGCGTCACATCCTGTGAGGACATAGCCCTTGCTGACTCTCCATCTCATGTTCTTCCCTTTGCTCATTGGCTCCAGCCCTTCTGGCCTCCTTGCTGCTCCCAGAATACACTAAGCCCTTTCCAAACTTCTGCCCTTGTACTTGTTCCTGCTTCCCAGAATGCTCCCCACACCCACCCCACCCACGCACATCACCCACCTGGCTGCTGGGGCAGCTTTCTCTGACCACCAATGTAAGTGTCACAGTCCTTCCTCTTTACTGCTATTTTCCCTGGTTCTTTTCCTTTCCTGAAAGAACTTTTCACAATCTGCAATTCTCTCACCTTCTGTTTATTTACTTTTCTGTGGTTTGCTCCCTGGCCAGAAAGCACAGTGTTAAGGGTGAAGACCATGTCGGTCTTGCACACTGTTCTATCCTCAGAGCCTAGCAGTGTGTTATACATAGTAGGTCCTCAAAACTGTAATTGAATGAGTGAATGAATTAGTGATAGATGAGTAAGCAAGAGGAAATGCTGGCCCTATGACCTTGCTCAAGACATTCACATCACTCACATTGCTGAACACAAGGGGGAGGCTGGGATGTGGTCTAGGAGGGAGAGAAGCCTCTCTCAAGCTTGGGAGGGTGCCAGGGCAAACACCAGTGGTATGAATGCCCAAACTTCAAGGGGGCCAGAGAATACACACTCTGAATTCTCTCTGGATCTAGATCTCGCCAAAGGGAGTCCCTGTTTCCAAGCCAAATTCTTCTGGCTGTGGAGGCAGCTACAGAGGCTGGGCGGGCAGGTATCCTACAGTCCCACATGTGACAGAGATTAAAACTCAACCCCACAGGGCCCACCAAGCAGCTTAGCCGCAGAATCTGCCTCTGCTGTTTGCCAGACATTCCAGTACATTCCACTCACCCTTCTCTTTGGCCTCCAGCAGCGGCAAATCCATAAGGGCCTCTTTCACCACACACACATGCCTTGTATGTACAGGCTCCGGGCTATTTAAGCAAGGCCTAGAACTCTGGCTGTGTTTCAAAGATGTAGTGATTCTGGTATTCATAGCTTTAGTGAGGGCTTTGGGCCTTTGGGGTGAAAAGCAGTAAGTAAACTTTAGCTCTTGGAGCCCAGTTGTCTGTGATGTACTTCATATGAAGTACAGTTTACTAGCAGTTCTGACTGCAGCCCTTGTAGAGAAACTCACGATTTGCTCCCTGTGGTCAGCACACAGCACACAGTTCCCAAAGCAATAGTGTGAGGGCATCCTCAGAATTCGTGCTTTGTATAGCACTTCTCATTTCCCAGGAAAGGGATAAGTTCTTGTTAAATGGAAGACCATGTAACCCAGAAAGCCAAGAGTAGGACTGGGGAATTTGCCATTCTCTTCTTCCTTTTCTTCCCCTTAGGCTGTTTGGGAAATCTCATCACCATTATGAAGTCTGTCTACACACCGGGCCCAGAAACGGTCTGCAGGGGGATGTTCCATTGAAGGGAAGGAAATTCTCCTATGAACACTAGGTATCTCAGCCAGCCAAGCTCTGGTCACCAAGCTTGCAAAAGTAAAAAGAAGAAAAGGAAGAGAAAGAATTCTGGACATGAGTTGAGGCCGCTGAAGGGAAGCCAAGAGGCAAGGATATTTGAAATGTCACTGGCTGGAGGTATTTAGAGGAGAGCTGCAAAAAGGAATAGATGAGTCATAGAGGAAATGGAAACCTCCCTGTTGGCCAGGAAATAAAGTCACAGGACAACTTATTGAAGACCTTATGTTTTCAACTATTTATAGCAGAGTAAAGAAATAACTGGTTTGGCCAAAAGGCTGCACATGAAGCCTCTGTCCAAGGTCACAGAGCAACTTTCATTGGAGGTTGGAGGCCCAACATGGGGCTGAAGGCCACCCATGCCACAGTTTTTGAAAAGCTCATGATGTTCCAGGGGTGCTACATTCCTTATCTTGTCTAAACATTACAATAACTCTGGAAAATTGGCATTTTGATCCCTATTTTCAGATAAGCAAACTGAGGTTCAGACATGGCTACATTTTTCTTTTTCTTCTAAAGTCATAAAGCTAGTAGGCCACACTTAGCTCCCTTATCCCTCTGTGGGGTGATACAAGACAGCATGGTATATTGAAAAGGACACAGATTCTGGGATCAGACAGGCTTAGGTTTGAACCCCAACTCTTACCACTTACTAAATGAGTGACCTTGGGGAAACCTCTTTGGAGTTCAATTTCTTTATCTGTAATAATTGGTATTATTCCTCAAGAAAACACTTGCAAACAGAATTCAACAATACATTAAAAAGATTATACACCATGAGCAAGTAGAATGTATTCCTGGAACGTAAAGATGGTTCAACATATGAAAATGATCAGTGTAATATACCACATTAACAAAATAAAGAGGAAAAAACCACGTGATCACCTCAATTGATGCAGAACATGCATGTGACAAAATTCAACACCCTTTCATGATAAAAACACTAAATAAAGTAGGAAGAGATGGAAACTACTTCAACATGATAAAGTCCTTATATGACATGCCCACAACTAATATCATTCTCAATGGTGAAGTATGCAAGGCTTCTCCTTTAAGATCAGGAACAAATCAGGGATGCTTACTCACTTTCATCACTTCTAGTTAACATAGTGCTGAAATTCCTAGCCAGGACAATTAGACAAGAAAAATAAACGAAAAGCATCTGAATTGAAAGGAATTTAAATTATCTCTGTTCACAGACAACATGATCTTTTATGTAGAAAGCCCTAAAGATTCCACTAAAAACCTGTTAGCACTAATAAACAAATTCACAAAGTTGCAGGATACAAAATAAAGATGTAAAAATCACCTGCATTTCTATGCACTAACAATGAACAGTCCAAAAGGGAAATTAAGAAAACAATTCCATTTACAAAAGGATCAAAGACAGAAATACTTAAGAATTAATTGAACCAAGGAGGAGGAGGAAGACTTGTACACTGAAAGCTACAAAACATTGCTGAAAGGAATTAAAGGCACCAATAAATGGAAAAATAGGTCCATGACTTGGAAGACAATATTGTTAAGATGTCAGTATTTCTCAAAGTGATCTACAGATTAAATAATAATCCCTATCATGATTCCAGTGGCATTAAAAACTTTTTTCTTTGAGACAGGTTATCACTCTGTCACCCAGGCTAGAGTGCAGTGGCTTGATCATAGCTCACTGCAGCCTTGGACTTCCAGGCTCAAGTCATCCTGTGGCTTGGACTCTACCATATCCGGCATTTTTTTTTTTTTTTTTGGTAGAGATGGAGTCTTGCTATGTTGCCCAGGCTAGTTTTGAACTCCTGGCTTCAAGAAATTCTCCTGCCTTGGCCTTCCAAAGTGCTGGGATTACAGGCATGAGCCACCATGCCTGGCCACATTTTGTTGTTGTTTTTGTTGCAGACATAATAAAATTCATCCTAAAATTAATATGGAAACTCAAGGGACTCCAAATAGCCAAAACAATCTTGAAAAAGAACAAAGTTGAAGGTCTTAAATTTTCTAATTTCAAAATTTACCACACAGTAATCGAAATAGTGTAGCACTTGCATAAAGATCAACTTATAGACAACTAAAATAGACCAGGGAGCTCAGAAACAAACCCTCACATAGATGGTCAGATGATTTTCAACAGAGGTGCCAAGACCATTCAAAGGGGGAATGGACTGTCTTCTCAACAAATGGTGCTGAGAAAACTGAATGTCCACATGCAAAAGAATGAAGTTGGATCCTTACTCTACCACATATACAAAAATTAACTCAAAATTGGATTAAAGGCCTAAACATAACACCTAAAACTATAAAACTCCTAGAAAAAAACATAGGGGAACAGCTTCATGACATTGGATTTAGCAATGATTTCTTGACTATGACACCAAAAGTATAAGCAACAAAAGAAAAAAATAGAAAAAATGGACTATACTAAAATGTACAACTTCTATGCATCAAAGGACACAATCAACAGAATGAAAAGGCAATCAATGGCATGGGAGACGATACTTACAAATCATATATCTGACAAAGGGTTAATATCTGGAATATATAAAGAATTCCTACAACCCAACAAAAAATACCAGACTCACTTAAAAATGCACAATAGACTTGAATAGACATTTCTTCAAAGAAAATATACAAATGAGCAATACAGAAATTTTTAAAATGCTCAATATCAATAATCATTCGGGAAATGCAAACCAAAACCACAATGAGATGCCACCTCATACCCATTAGGTTGGATACTATATAAAAACAAAACCTCAGAAAATAACAAGCATCGGTGAGGATGCGGATTAATTGGAACTCTGGTGCGCTGTTGGTGGGAATTTTAAATGATGCAGCCACTATGGAAACGGTATGGTGGTTTCTCAAAAAATTAAACATAAATTTACCATATCTTCCAGCACTTCCAGGACCCCCTTGAGGATACCAAAATTCACAGATGCTCAAGTCCCAGATATAAAATTGCACAGTATTTGCATATAACCTATGCACATCCTCTCATATACTCTAAGTTATCTCTAGATTACTTATAATACCTAATACTATGTAAATGCTATGTAAATAGTTGTTAGACTGTATTGTTTAAGAAATGGTAACAAAAAATAAAGTCTGTACATGTTCAGTACAGACACAACCATCCATTTTTTTAAAGAACACACACACACACACACACATATATATAATTTTTTATTTTAAGATGGAGTTTCGCTCTTGTCACCCAGGCTGGAGTACAATGGAACGATCTCGGCTCACTGCAACCTCCACCTCCTAAGTTCAAGCAATTCTCCTGGCTCAGCCTCCCGAGTAGCTGGGATTACAGGCGACCCCCACCACTCCTGGCTAATTTTTGTTTTTTTTTTTTTAGTAGAGACGGGGTTTCGCCATGTTGGCCAGGCTGGTCTCAAACTCCTCACCTCAGGTGATCCACCTGCCTCAGCCTCCCAAAGTGCTGGGATTACTTGCATGAGCCATCGTGCCCGGCTGAAAGAATATTTTTGATCCTAGGTTGCTTGAGTCCACAGATGCAGAACCCATGGGTACAGAGGCCAACTGTACACCAATGCTCATAGCAGTATTATTCACAATGGCCAAAAGGTGGAAGCAACCGAAGTGTCCACTGATGGATTAATGGACAAAAATAATGTCGTCTATACACACAATAAAATATTATTCAGACTTAAAAAGGAAGGAAATTCAGACACTTGCTATAGCATGGATGAAACTTGAAGACATTATGCTAAGTGAAATAAGTCGGTCATAAGAGGACAAATACTATATCACTCCACTTATATGAAATACCTAGAGTAGTCAAATTCATAGGGACCAAAAGTAGAATGGTAGTTGCCAGCGGCTGGGGTAAGAGGAAAACGAGGAGTTTTTATCATTATTATTTGAGAAGGGGTCTTGCTGTGTTACCCAGGCTGGGGTACAGTAGTGCAGTCATAGCTCACTGCAGCTTTGAACTTCCGGGCTCAAGAGATGCTCCCAACATCAGCCTTCTGAGTAGCTGGGTCTGCAGGTGTGTGCCCACCACACCCAGATAATTTTTTATTTTATTTTTTATAGAGATGGGGTCTCACTCTGTCACCCAGGCTGGAGTGCAATGGCTTGATAGTAGCTCATTGTAGCTTTGAACTCCCAGGCTCAAGCCATCCTGTCCTTGGTTGTACCTGTACAGCCACCACATGTGGCTACTTAATATTTTTGGGGGGATTTTTCTCATGTTGCCAGGGCTGGTCTCGAACTCCTGGGCTCAAGTAACCCTCCTGCCTTGGCTCCCAAAGTGCTGGAATTACAGATGTAAGCCACAATACTGGGCCAGGAGATATTATTTAATGGGTACAGAGTGTCAGTTTTGCAAAATGAGGTGAGTTCTAAAGATGAATGGTACGGATGGCACAACACTGTCAATGTACTTAATGCCACTGAACAGTACACTTAAAAATGGTTAAAATGACCAATTTTACCACAATGAAAAATAATTTTAAAAATTTTCTTGCAGGATTATTGAAAGGATTAAATATCCTTTGGGAAAGGCCTAGCTCACTCCCTGGCACATGGTAGGTGCTCGGTCCATGCCAAGTCTCATTTCTTTCTGTTAATGGTAAACTTGGAACTCACCTGGAGCCCACGCTTCTCAATAACACGATGACTCAAGAAAAATAACTGTGCTGTTCATTGTTTTCATTGGTGGTTTTCCCATGTGGCCCACAACTGTGCTGCAAGGGAGTGCTCCACATTCAAGGAGTGCTGGAATGTGACAATGACAGCCTAGGCAGGGTGGGCTCCGCTCACACCATGTGAGTGCTGAGTGGCACCCACTGAGGAAGAAAATCTGCTGCCAGCACGAGAGCCAAGCTGCCTGCAGCCTCAGCCAAGCAGCCCAGGGTTTCTCAGGTGAAGCTGGGCCAGGAGACTAACAATCCTCAGACAGAGCTCAGGTAAAGAGGATGTGGGAGGCCAAGTTGCCTCCAGAGCATGTGATTGTCTTTCTGCAGGAGGAGGGGCTTTGATGTTAGAACAGCTGGTACCAATGTCTCAGCCAGCACATGGAGCTACGTCCTGTACAGGAGAGCTGGAGGTCGCCAAGAGGGAGGCCGCTAGGAACTTTTTCCCACTTGATTTCCTTGGGCATATTTTCTTTTTCTTTTTTTTCTTTTTTTGAGACAGAGTCTTGCTCTGTTGCCCAGGCTGGAGTGCAGTGGCACCATCTTGGCCCACTGCAAGCTCTGCCTCCCAGGGTCACGCCATTCTCCTGCCTCAGCCTCCAGAGCAGCTGGGACTACAGGTGCCCACCACCACACCTGGCTAATTTTTTGTATTTTTAGTAGAGATGGGGTTTCATCGTGTTAGCCAGGATGGTCTCGATCTCCTGACCTCGTGATCCGCCCACCTTGGCCTCCCAAAGTGCTGGGATTACAAGCGTGAGCCACCGTGCCCAGCCCCTTGGGCATGTTTTCTAGGAATATGGGAGAAACAGCACTCTGGATCCTATTGCTTTAATTAACTTGGTGTACTAGTTGGCTTGGGCTGCCATAATGCAATACCAGAGATGGGTGGCCTAAACAGCAGAAACCAATTTTCTCATAGTTCCAGAACCTGGGAAGTCCAAGATCAAAGTGTTGGCACAGTAGGATCATTCTGAGGCCTCTCCTCTCCACTTGTGTGTAGGTGGCCGGCATCTGGCTGTGAGCTCGCAAGACCTCTTCTTTGTGAGAGAGCAAGTGAGCTCTCTGGTGTCTAAGGACGTCAATCCTATCAGATTAGGGATTCACCCTTATGACCTCATTTAACCTTGATTATTTCCTTAGGGGCCTCTTCTCCACATAAAACCACACTGGGGCTTAAGATGTCAACAGATGCATCTGGGGAGGACACAACATTCAGCCCATAACACCTGGCACCCTGGGAACACCAAGCAAAGCTGTTCCAGGGTGTGAGCACGCTGTCCTCGCGGACATTAGGGACTTTAGGAGGCCCATATAGACCCACGACGGCCCTTCTGGAAACGACGTGTGTAGGCTCTGGCTCATGGACTCCCTTTAAACTTACCAAATGATAATCCAGAAAAAGCCCTGGATGGAGGATAAGAAGCCCTGCTTCACAATATACTAGCTTTGGACACGGCATAAATCTTTGAACCTCAATACCCTCATCTTTAGGATGAGGTAAGTTACATCCATGCTCACCTGGTTGTTGTGGGGAACAGATGAGATATAGGATAGAGAAGACTCCGTAAGTTTAAAATTCTATAAAAAATTGAAGGCATTTTTTATTGCGGTAAAATACATATAACATAACATTTACCGTTTTAACCATTTTTAAGTGTGCACTTCAGTGGCAGTAAGTGCATTCTCAGTGCTGTGCTACCGTCATCACCATCCATCTGCAGAACTTTTTCATTTTCGCAAACTGAAACCCCACACCCATTAAGCACTAACTCCCCAACCCCCCACCCCTCGCCCCTGGAAAGCGCCGTTCTGCTCTTGGTTTCAATGCATCTGACTCCTCTAGGCACCTCGTATAAGTGGAATCATACGGCATTTATCCTTTTGTGACTGTCTTATTTCACTCAGCGTAATGTCGTCAAGTGCCATCTACATTGTAGCCTACGTCAGAATTTTCTTCCTTTTTGAGGATAAATAATATTCCATTATGTAGATACACCACATTTTGTTTATCCATTCATTTGTTGATGAACACTTGGGTTATTTCCACCTTTTGGCTACTTTGTTTTATTTATTTATTTATTTATTTATTTATTTATTTATTTATTTATTTTGAGACAATCTTGCTCTTGTCACCCAGGCTGGAGTGCAATGGAGCGATCTTGGCTCACTGCAACCTCTGCCTCCTGGGTTCAAGCGATTTCCCTGCCTCAGCCTCCCGAGTAGCTGGGATTACAAGCGTGCACCACCACACCCAGCTAATTTTTTATATTTTCGGTAGAGACAGGGTTTCACTATGTTGGCCAGGCTGGTCTCGAACTCCTGACTTTAAGTGATCTTCCCGCCTCAGCTTCCCAAAGGGCTGGGATTACAGGTGGAGCCACTGCGCCCGGCCCCTTTTGGCTACTTTGAATAATGCTACTATGAACATGGCATATAAGCATCTGTTTGAGACACTGCTTTCCATTCTGAGGGGGTATATTCTTAGAAGAGGAACTGATGGATCAGATGGTAATTCTGTTTAACATTTTGAGGACCTGCCATACTCTTTTCCACAGCAGTTGCACCATCAAGAGTGTGCCAGAGTTCCAGTTCCTCCACATCCTCACCAATACTTGTTTTCTGTATTTTTGTTTTGTGTTTTTTAATTTTAATTTTTGTGGGTATATAGTACATGTATGTATTTGTTGTTTTCCGTATTTTGGAGAAGGGGGCAGGGTGTTACTGTGTTGTACAGGCTGGAGTGCAGTGGCTTGATCATAACTCACTGCCACCTCAAAGTCCTGGGCTGAAGCAATCCTCCTGCCTCAACCTCCCAAGTAGCTGGGATCACATGTGTATGCCACCATGCCAGCTAATTTTTATTTTTATTTATAGAGATGGGGTATCACTATGTTGCTCAGGCTGGTCTTGAACTCCTGGCGTTAGGCGATCCTCCTGCCTCGGCCTCCCAAAGCACTGGGATTGCAGGTATGAACCACCATGCCCAGGCTTTGTTTTCTGTATTTTTGATAGTAGCCATCCTAATGGATCTAAAGTGATATGTCACTGTGGGTTTGATTGCATTTCCCTAATGACTAACAATGTTGAGCATCTTTTCATTTATGTCCATTTGTATGTCTTTTTTGAAGAAATGTTTATTCAAGTCCATTGCCTAAGTTGGAATTGAGTTGTCTGACTTTTTGTTGTTGATTTCAGGCATTTTCTAATCCAACAATGTTTAGCTAGGAGATACTTTATGCGATAATCCAGTTAGGCCATCAGGAAACATAAAGATGTATGAGATCTTGCCTTCTGGCATGTTACACTGTTCGCATTGTGTATGGAAATGCATGGGGCCGCTCATGCAGAACAGAGGGTGCAGAGGTAATAAGGTACCCACAGCCACATGTCTCTTGGAAAGGTGAAGCTTGGCTTGGTCATAAGGGTGAGTGAGATTTCAACAGATAGAGATGGGGGCCAGGCACTGTGGCTCATGCCTGTAATCCCAGCACTTTGGGAGGTTGAGGCGGGCAGATCACCTGAGGTCAGGAGTTTGAGACCAGCCTGGCCAACAGAGTGAAACCCCATCTCTACTAAAAAAATACAAAAGTTAGCCGGGTGTGGTTGCACACACCTGTAGTCCCAGCTACTTGGGAGGCTGATGCAGGAGAATCACTTGAACCCGGGTGTCAGAGGTTGCAGTGGGCCAAGATCATGCCATTGCACTCCAGCCTTGGTGACAGAGCGAGACTCCATCTCAAAAAAGAAAAAAAAAAGAAAGAGAGAGCGAGAGAGATGGGGTAGGGGAACAGGCCTAGAGAACACACCAGCAGAGGAACAATTTGGAGCAGATTTAACTCTGTTTATGCAGTAGTTGGAATGTTGAGGCATTCAACTCAAACTGACTTAAGCAAAATGGAGAACTTATTAACTCATGTAATTAAAAAGCCCAGAATTAATGGCCTCAGATATAGTTGAATTGAGGGACACCAAAGAGGTCATCAGGGCTCTGTGTTTCTCTCCGTGTCTTGGCAAGGCTCTCTTTATGAGAAGAGCATGAATCCAGGCCTCACGTTCAAGGAATTTTGCAATCCTCCATAGTCCCTCTCAGGGAGAACTCTGATCTGCTGCACTTGGATCTAGGCCCATTGCCTTATCAGTCACTGAGCCCCCAGACTGGGGCTGGGAGTTGGATGGAGAGTCCTGGCTCACATGACTGTGGAAGGGGTAATCGAGGCTTCCCCACCAGAGAAAATTCGTCACATTATTGCCAGAAGGAGGAGGAGGAAAGCTCAGGAGGAGAGAGCCACCCAAAGGAAAGCTCAGCTTGCTTGTGTGGCTCAGATTGTGTAGGAAAGGATGAGGGAGGAAGTTTGAGAAATCTGCCATTTTCCAGTTGTAAGTAATGCCCAGACTGTGCCCCAGTTTCTCCTTGAGACCTGTCTGTCCCATACCTGTCAGTACTCCCTATACACATATGTGCATGTACACATATGTGAATACTCACTTTTGAGGGCTCTGTAGCCAGGTTTGCACTGTGGTCCTGCATTTCTGGGGCTCCAGGCTATACCAATTGTTTGTTTTCAGTTCTTCCCACCAGTGTGCTTGTCTATCATCTCCTCTACATCATACAAGAGAAACCCAGAACAGTATTTGCCAGAACGCCCCTCCGCACAGGATTCTGATTGGAATTTTCCATTAAGAGGTACTCATGAGTGGCCAGGTGCAGTGGCTCACGCCTGTAATCCTAGCACTTTGGGAGGCTGAGGCAGGTGGATTGCTTGAGCTCAGGAGTTTGAGACCAGCCTGGCTAACATGGCAAAACCCCATCTCTACAAAAAATTAAAAAATTAGCCGGGTGTGCTGGCATGTGCTTGTAGTCCCAGCTACTTGGGGGGGCTGAGGTGGGAGGATTGTTTAAACCTGGGAGGTCGAGGCTACAGTGAGCCAAGATTGCACCACTGCACTCCAGCCTGGATGACAAAGTGAGACCCTGTCTCAAAAAAAAAAAAAAAAGAAAAATAGAAAAAGGGCACTCATGAGACTTAGCAGACAGATGAGGAGAAGGGATTATTGTCTGGAGGCATTTACAGGCAGATGTGAAGGTTGCAGCAGTTTCTGGGGATGCTCCTGTGGACCACCCAGTCTGGGGGTACCGGCAGCTGAGAGAGCTGATGACCACTTCTGAGAATCACTCATCTGTGCTGTAGGATAATACAGAGGGGAGCTGCCAGGCAGTTCTTGATCATTGCAGCAGCTCCTTGGTGAACGTCCTGAGAATCACCCTGTTGCAAGCTGAGATAAGTTGGGAGAATAACACTGAAGTTCTTGAGATTCACAATGGTTTTAGGGTGAGTTCTTGAAAGTCACCGGCTTGACTGTGCAGGCTGGGATGATGGGCAATTGTTTGCCTGATTATCCTGCCTTCACTCTTTTTTTTTTCTTTCCCAGAGCAGTACCTTTTTTTTTTTTAATACTTTCTTTTTTTTTTTTCTTTTTTTTTTTTGAGATGGAGTCTCGCTCTGTCGCCCAGGCTGGAGTGCAGTGGCGCGATCTCGGCTCACTGCAAGCTCCGCCTCCAGGGTTCACACCATTCTCCTGCCTCAGCCTCCCAAGTAGCCGGGACCACAGGCGCCCGCCACCACGCCCGGCTAATCTTCGTACTTTTAGTAGAGACTGGGTTTCACTGTGTTAGCCAGGATGGTCTGGATTTCCTGACCTTGTGATCCACCCGCCTCGGCCTCCCAGAGTGCCGGGATGACAGGCGTGAGACACTGCGCCCTGCGGTTACAATGTTTGTTTGTTTTTTTTTTTTTTTTTCCCAAGGCAGAAGAATTTTTCTTAGTACAGAACAAAATGAAAAGTCTCCCATGTCTACTTCTTCCTACACAGACACTGCAACCATCCGATTTCTCAATCTTTTCCCCACCTTTCCCCCCTTTCTATTCCACAAAACCGCCATTGTCATCATGGCCCGTTCTCAATGAGCTGTTGGGTACACCTCCCAGACGGGGTGGTGGCCTGGCAGAGGGGCTCCTCACTTCCCAGTAGGGGTGGCCGGGCAGAGGCGCCCCTCACCTCCCGGACAGGGCGGCTGGCCGGGCGGGGGGCTGACCCCCCCACCTCCCTCCCGGACGGGGTGGCTGCCGGGTGGAGGGGCTCCTCACTTCTCAGACGGGGCGGCTGCCGGGCGGAGGGGCTCCTCACTTCTCAGATGGGGCAGTTGCCAGGCAGAGGGTCTCCTCACTTCTCAGACGGGGCGGCCGGGCAGAGACGCTCCTCACCTCCCAGACGGGGTCGCAGCTGGGCAGAGGCGCTCCTCACATCCCAGATGGGGCGGCGGGGCAGAGGCGCTCCCCACATCTCAGACGATGGGCAGCCGGGCAGAGACGCTCCTCACTTCCTAGATGTGATGGCGGCCAGGAAGAGGCGCTCCTCACTTCCTAGATGGGATGGCGGCTGGGCAGAGACGCTCCTCACTTTCCAGACTGGGCAGCCAGGCAGAGGGGCTCCTCACATCCCAGACGATGGGCGGCCAGGCAGAGACGCTCCTCACTTCCCAGACGGGGTGGCGGCCGGGCAGAGGCTGCAATCTCGGCACTTTGGGAGGCCAAGGCAGGCGGCTGGGAGGTGGAGGTTGTAGCGAGCCGAGATCACGCCACTGCACTCCAGCCTGGGCACCATTGAGCACTGAGTGAACGAGACTCCGTCTGCAATCCCAGCACCTCGGGAGGCCGAGGCTGGCGGATCACTCGCAGTTAGGAGCTGGAGACCGGCCAGGCCAACACAGCGAAACCCCGTCTCCACCAGAAAAATACGAAAACCAGTCAGGCGTGGTGGCGCGCGCCTGCAATCGCAGGCACTCGGCAGGCTGAGGCAGGAGAATCAGGCAGGGAGGTTGCAGTGAGCCGAGATGGCAGCAGTACAGTCCAGCTTCGGCTCGGCATCAGAGGGAGACCATGGAAAGAGAGGGAGAGGGAGACCGTGGGAAGAGAGGGAGAGGGAGACCGTGGAAAGAGGGAGAGGGAGAGGGAGAGGGAGAGGGTGAGGGAGAGGGAGAGGGAGAGGGCTACAATGTTTTTTAATAAGCACCCCGCATCAATCTCCCTCCTGGGCCCTGGGCACCGGGGAGGAGGGGTAAAGGTGGGGGGCACCGGGGCTCGCTGCTTGGGGGGCCTGGGATACAGGTGGAGGACGCCCGGGAAAAGAGGGGAAAACACAGCAAGTGAGAGACAAGGGGGCGCCTTTTTTTAATACTTTAAATTCTAGGGTACATGTACACAATGTGCAGGTTTGTTACATATGTATACATGTGCCATGTTGGTGTGCTGCCCATTAACTCATCATTTACATTAGGTATATCTCCTGATGCTATCCCTACCCCCTCCCCCCACCCCACGACAGGCCCCGGTGTGTGATGTTCCCCTTCCTGCGTCCAAGTGTTCTCATTGTTCAATTCCCACCTATGAGTGAGAACATGTGGTGTTTGGTTTTTTGTCCTTAACGATAGTTTGCTGAGAATGATGGTTTCCAGCTTCATCCATGTCTCTATAAAGGACATGAACTCATCCTTTTTTATGGCTGCATAGTATTCCATGGTATCCTGCCTTCACTCCTTGCAGTAGTTGTGCAGCTCTCCTATTCCACGTGATAAAACCTTCACCCTTGCGTACATGGAGTGGCTTCTGTCTCCCTGACCAAATTTCAATGGACAAGATAGCCTATTCCCAATGGAACAGGGGTGCACCCTTGACCCTAGAAGAACCAATTCATTGACTGCTAGGCTGAGCCAAGTGGAATTTTCTTTCCTGAGAATTTGCAGTTGGAACAAAGAGATTTCTAGTGATTGGCAGTACTAGAAGCAAGAGAATATGTAGAAGACTGAAAGAGACATTTTCTTCTAAAAACAAAGAAAGTGAGACTATGGAGAGAAAAATCAAATAGATGCTCAGAGAGAAGCAGAGAGAAGGAACCAAAAACTTCCAAAAAGAAACAGATGAACTTTCCCTGGCTTTCCAGGTCCTGGTTCCAGTCCCATGGGAAGTCCAATTTCTTGTACATGGATATTCCTGCATCCTTCCACTCCATTCCTTTCTTTTTGTTTAAGTTAATTTGAGTGAGTTTCCATTACCTGCAAGCAAGAGGTGTGACTAAGCTGGAAGAGATCTGGGCTTCTTCATTTTGCTCATGAATGGACACAGTCCCTGGCATATGAGCATGTTAAAAACATATCGATTAATTATTTAATTAAAATCCAACCTCACTCTATTCCAGGACCAAAAGCACAACTATGGAAATAATTGATCTCTGAGAAGTCACCTGTGAGATAAACACCTATTGCCAAATCTTTAAATTAAAAAAAAAAGGACTTATTCTCATTGGTAAAAAGTCCTCACCTGTGTAATACAGCCACACACTCATGGGGAAAAAAGCAAGAGGTTAAGGCCAGAAATAACTTGGATTGGCACCTCAGCACTTGTAGTAAATAATGTCTGTGTCATTCATGGTACAAAACTACTAAAAGTGCCAGCACTAAGGTCACAGCAGAGGTCCATTTGTTCTCACGGCCTTGGGGTGGTTTGTGATTTTTCTCTTTCAAGCAGAGGCGAGCTGCTCGAAGGGGTTGCTAGTTTGTGGTCCACATCATTTCTCCTAAGGAGGGAACCCGCCCTCACAGCTGACTTCCTACGGAGCTGCACTTTTTGTGTGGCAACTCTTTGCAAGCTATGAATTGCCCCTCCCGTGGCACACATGACTTACTGAACTCAGCTGAAGATCGGGCTCAGGATTCCCCAGCACAGCCTTAGGAGGATGTCTTGAAATAGTATAACTTATGTGAGTAGAAAGCGTTTTAGTTCTGGAGGAGTTTGTTTTTTTGGTACACGTGTCTTCATAGTCTGCAAGTTCCATAATTGTATTTATTAGTTACTCTTCATTTACCAGTGAAGTTGGGAGTGTCAGTCCTTCTTTCTTCCTATGGAGAGAAAAATATAGAGACTCCCACCTCCCTTCCCCACCAAAGAGGTTCAATTCCTTTCTCAGAGTATCTAATGAGCTAGTGGCAGTGCCCTGTACTCTGGGGGAAAGCCACTGAGCCATTTATGTTTTATGCGTAACATAATAACGAGTCCTGGCCTTGACCAGCTTTTTATTGAAAGTTAAGCCAATGAAACCTTTTATCTTGGGTGAATCATTAATGAAGTGAAGAGCTGAATCTATAGGCATTTATTAATTTTTGTAATAAATAATATTTGAGTGCCTACCATGTGCTGAGCACTGCAGATATTGCAATAACAACAACAACAAAATATTTCCCCCCCGTGGAGCTTATAGTCCAATAGAATAAGTAGATTTTAAATAAATAATCCTATCAACAAATATATATGTCACAGGGTTGCAAATTTACCCACACTGTACTCAGCTATGGAAAGAAAAAGAGGCCCCATGTTTTCCAAACCTCATCTAATCTTCCTCAAAGCCACCTGCCGGCTTTCCTAGAGGAAATTTAAAAAACTCATTTCAATCTGTTAAATGCAGGCTAATCCAGCCCTTCAAATTCAGTTGCTTTTGGACAAATCCATTTTTCAGGTTTCCTCATCTTCTATCGATTTATGTCCAAAATGGCCTGTGGGTGTGTAGGAGGCTTGTGTGACCATGTAGTGTGGAAAGATGGAGCTAAACGGGCTCCAGTCCCCGAGTGGGCTGGTCTGGGCGGGATTAGTGAGGTTAGCAGGATTAGCAAGGTTAGCAGTGGGGTTGCTATCAGGAGCCGATGTCTGAGATGGGGCAACACAGAACGTGCGCCTCTCGGCCCGGGGTTCCTCCCGTCGGTTTGGCTGAACCTGACACCTGCTCTGGCTGTAGAACTTCATTTCCATTCCTGGCTTGACCAGCCTGGCTTTAGCCCTAGGCCCCGATGTCATTCACCTCAGTCTCCACATGGACCTTTTTCTCTGGCCAGCTCCCTGTACGGTCTCAGAAACTGCCGTCTCCCTGTCACAGGAGACAATGGGGATTTGTGAGCCGGTTCTATGGCACAGAGGGGGCCCCGAATGACGCAAGAGGCCTCACAGAGGCTCACTTTGTCGGACTCTGCAGTTGCCCCAAGTTCAGCAAAGAGGTCTCTATTCAGAGTCCCAGGTTGGAAACAGGACAACCTTCCGTGTGCTGTCTACTTCCTTCTGTGTAACCTTCTTCTTCACTCTTTGACTCAGCCCAGAACAGGAGGCCACAACACAGGCATCTCTGCAAGCTTCTATCTCCTCTGTCCTCCTCCTTCCCCCACAGACACTGAAGTATAAACACTGATTTCTCACCTTTTCCTTTCTATCAGGTCAAGACACTTCTATGTTATAGTCTCCTCCTTTTATTTATTTATTTATTTTTAATTAATTAATTTTCAGAATGGGTCTTGCTCTGTTGCCCAGGCTGGAGTGCAGTGGCGTTACCATGGTTCTCTGCAGCCCCACCCTCCCAGGCCCAGGCGATCCTCCTACCTCAGCCTCCCAAGTAGTGGGGACCACAGACATGTACCATCACGACTGGCTAATATTTTAAATTTCTTGTAGAGATGAGGTCTGCCTATGTTTGCCCAGGCTGGTCTTGAACTTCTGAGCTCAAGTGATCTTCCCACTTTGGCCTTCCAAAGTGCTAGGATTACAGGTGTGAGCCACCATCCCCAGCCCCTCCTTGTTTTAAAGTAGTACCTGCCCTCTCCCTTTCATTGGAAACAGAGTAGAGGGCATCAAGGATAGAAAAACTGCTTACCAATGAGGAAACCTAAGTCGAGAGACATTTCAAGGGCATTAAACCCATTACTCCTAACTCAAAATTGTGATAAGAAGACATAAAGAAGAAATTGGGGGCATTATGATGAGAGGAAAATGTAGCCTAGATGATCAAGGAAGTTTTTTTTTTGAGTAAATGATGTTTAAGGTTCATTTTTAAAATTCTGAGGGAGGGAGTGGGGAGGTGCTGGTGGCTGTAATAGGGTAGACTGAGAGATGCTGGTGCTGGATTCCTGCCTTGTAGCTTGACCATGATGGTGTTCACATGAATCTATTTGTATGATAAAATTACATAAAACTAAATCCACACACCCCCACACACCCAGCACTTGTAAAGTTGTTGGAACCTGAATGTCATGAATTGCATACGTACCAATTTGCAGTTGTGACACTGTGCTGTAGCTACGCAAGGTGTTATCACTGGGAGGAGCTGGGGAAAGTGTGCAAGAGAACTCTCCATGTTTCTTCTTGTGACCACGGGTGAATCTAGCATCACCTCAAAACTAAAAGTTTGTTTAAAAAGAAAACAATGGGCCTGGCGCAGTGGCTCAAGCCTGTAATCTCAGCACTTTGGGAGGCTGAGGCGGGCGGATCACCTGGAGTCAGGAGTTAGAGACCAGCCTGGCCAACATGGCAAAACCCTGTCTCTACTAAAAATACAAAAATTAGCTAGATGTAGTGGTGCATGCCTGTAATCCCAGCTACTTGGGAGGCTGAGGCAGGAGAATCGCTTGAACCCGGGAGGATGAGATTGCAGTGAGCTGAGATCGCGCCACTGCACTCCAGCCTGGGAGACAGAGCGAGACTCCATCTCAGAAAAAAAATAAATAAATAAAGGAAAGAAAGAAAACAATGATCAAGTGTTAGCCATGTGAAGAATGTTCCCAGTGAAGGCCTGGAGGGGGAAGGGCTCGACAAGCTGAAGGAGGGAAAAGAGCGTGGCCAGAGCACAGGAGCAAGGGGGACTATGCCAGCGAGGAGGCTTTGGTGGAAGGAAAAAGAAAGTCAAAGGCTTTAGGGCTCTCCCAGCTCTTTTAGATTTTGTCTTAAGTGCAAGGGAAGGGTTGGAAGTAGGACAGTGATGTGATCAGATCTATCTTTTAAAACCATCTCTGACCATGTGGAGAATGGCTGGGAAGTGGAATGAAGCAAGAGGAGAGGCTTCTGCAGAGGTGAGCAGGCATACTGACCAGACTATGATGGTTGCAAGTGATTTGGAAAGATACGGGCAATATTTAGAGGTATTTTGCAGATAGAATGTGCACAATGTAGTAATGAAATGTCTAATAAACGGTGAAGAAACGGGGTGTGTCAAAGATGCTGTATGTTTCTGAAATGAACAATTGGGTTGATGGAGGTACTTTATTTTCGAAGAAAAGGGGTATGTCAAAGATGCCGTAATTGGGTGGATGGAGGTGCTTTATTGTCTCAAGTGGGGAAGAACGGAGGAGAAGCATATTTGCATGGACATCAAGATGGGTTTACTCATGTCCCATTGCCACACTGTCCTAAATCCATAGTTTTTAAATATATTTGATATTTATGGGACAGATTCTCCTATCCTCATTTTTCTTTTTCAGACTTCAGCTGGCTTTTCACACCTGTTTGTTTTTCCATATGACTACACTCGGCCTTATCTAGTTCAAGAAAAAATTCATTTTGGTGTTTTTACTCAGATCACAGTAAATATGTAAATTAACTTAGGATAATTGACATTTTTATGAGGTTGACTTCCTCTTCAAGAACCAATCTTACCTTCCCTAGGCTCAAGTCTTCTTTGAGGGGCCCTCAATGGTATTTTTACATTTTCTATAATGCTTGTACATTTCCTATTAAGCTTATTTCTAGTAAGCTCATCTTTTATTGCTACTGTAAATGTGGTCTTCCCTTCCATCGTATATTCTAAGTGGATATTGTTTGTACATTTGAAAACTGTTGATTTATTTAATAAATTAAATTTATTTAATTAAATTTATTAAATTAAATTTATTTTTAATTAAATTTATTTAATTAAATTCATTTTCAATTAAATTTATTTAATTAAATTCATTTTCAATTAAATTTATTTAATTAAATTCATTTTTAATTAAATTTATTTAATTAAATTCATTTTCAATTAAATTTATTTAATTAAATTCATTTTCAATTAAATTTATTTAATTAAATTCATTTTTAATTAAATTTATTTAATTAAATTCATTTTCAATTAAATTTATTTAATTAAATTCATTTTTAATTAAATTTATTTAATTAAATTCATTTTTAATTAAATTTATTATTTAATTAAATTACATTTATTTAATTTAAGTAGACGGGGTCTTGATATGTTGCCCAGGCTGGCCTGGTACTCCTGGGCTCAAGGGACCCTCCTGCCCCAGCATCCCCAGAAGGAGGGACTATAGTTGTGTGCCACCAGGCCTGCTGATTTATTTTTGCAGTTTGGTACTGACCTTACTCATTTATGTGGTTGAACTAATTTTTAGATGATTTTTTGAGGTTTCCTAGATATACAATAATATTTGCAAATAATAATGATTTTGCCTTCTCCTTTTCTCATTTTTATGCTTCTTTTTTCCCCTGCTAGTCTCTCGGCCTTGCTTAGTGCCTCCAAACATCTTTAAATCGAAATGATGGTAATGGACATTTTTGTCTTGTTCCTGACTTAAATGGGACTTTCTTGGGGAGGGGATTTCATAAACATTGTGGTAAACTGGGTGAGGTAGATACAGTTTTTAATCATTCTAAAGGATTGCCTTGTAATTATTCATCTATTCAGAATAGTTATCAAGAATGGATGCTTATCAAATGGATTGTCTTTGAAGATAATCATACTATTTTTCTTTCTTGGGAATTGCTTTAATAGCAAATTTCTTTACTGACCTCTTCTTGTATTCTCAAAATAAACTCCACTTGGTTAAAAGATTACCCTTCTGACCTTTGCTGGATTCTGTTTGTTAATGTTTTATTTAGGATTTTTGCATGAATTATTTCTAAGTAAATTTGTTCTGTAGTTTTCTTTTTTGGGCTACCACTGTTAGGATTGATTTGCTAGCTTTGTATGAAAAGTTTAAAAGATTTTTTTTCCTTTTCTATGCACTGGAACATTTGAAAGTGCATTGTAGCCATCTGTTCCTGAGAAGTTTGGTACAATTCCCCAGTGAAAACTTGGAGCCTGATTCTTTTGGGGGCTAGAGTAAAAGGTCAGTGATAGTTAGGAAGCTGCTCTTGGACAAATTCCTCTATTTCTTCTATGGTAATTGATCCATTTAGATTTTTTTCTCTCCTAAAGTCAGTTTTGTAAATTTTTATTTTCCTGGAAAATAATTTTCTCCATCTAGGAATTGAGATTAATTTATATACAAATAAGAAAAGTCATCTCTATTTAAGGTAATCCCACTATATGGTACCTGTAATACACAAAAGCAGTATAGCGCAGTTTAAAGGTGAATTTAGATAAGTTAAAAATGGATATTACAAACTCGAGAGCAACCACCTTTATTACAGAGTGTTTTTCATTGTCGTGAAAAATCTTCTGGGTACATCTGACAATGTTTGTTCTTCTTCTACTCCTCGAACTCCTGACCTCAGGTGATTCACCCACCTCGGCCTCCCAAAGTGCTGGGATTACAGGCGTGAGCCACCATGCCTGGCCTCCTCTTCTACTCCTGCCAGAGACATGAAGGGATCTTTCTTGGCTCTTCACCATGAGAACCTGGTGGGGTTTCTGGAGGTGAAACCCATGAAAACATAGGTCCCCACCTCAAGACTGCAGGCCTTGGGAGTTTGTCACTTTCATGCTAGTTCACTGCAGCAATTTGCCAAAATCATCATGGACATGTTTCTAAGAGTTGATGCCCTCATTGGCTTCTGCTCCAGGTGAGCAGGTGTCCTTGTGACTCTCTGGACTTGCCCATCTCTCCAGATTTGGGGGTGGCAGTTTGCTCTGCAAACTTAGTTCTCTGATGTGTCCAAGAAAGGTCATGAATTGACGGCTTGTTTAGCTTTTTCTTGTTCTAAGAATGGGAGTAATGACTTCCAAGCCCTTCACTTGTCAGAGCTGAAATTATGAGTTAATTATCTTGTATGTAATATCTTATTTTTCTCACAGTTTTCAAGATTTTCTCTATCATTGGCATTCTGTGGTGTGAATGAATGTTCTGTACCAGGGTGTGATTTTCTTTGAAGGTCTCCAATGTGGGGTTTTTGGGGCTTTACAAGATATACTCATATTTACCAGATATCGGGAGTGTTCTGTCTTTTTTTCATAAATAAAGAAATATGAAGACTATTCTCTCTCTCTCTGTGTCTCTCTCTCTCTCTCCCCTCCTCCTCCTCCTCCTCCTTCAGTTAAGCCTTATGTTGGACTGCTTGATATTGTTCTATAAGCCTCTGAGGGTCTGCTTATTTTTCTTCACTTGTTTTTCTTTCTGTTCTTCAGGTTGGATAATTTCTACTTATCTTCTTCCAAGTTTACTGATTCTTTATTCTGCCATCTCCCATCTGCTGTTGAGCCTATCAAGTAAAATTTTTTTTGCTTGCAGTTGTACTTTTCAGCTCTGGAGTTTTTATTTGTTTCTTTTTTATAATTTTAATTTCTGTATTGAGATTTTCTATTTGTTCACTCATCAACACCATGCTTCTTTTAATTCTCTGAGTGTGATTATAGTAGCTGCTTTAAAATTGTTATCAGCTAAACCTAACATCTGAGTTCACTTTCAATAAAGATTCCATAAGCGTCCTTCTATCCTGAATATGAACCACCCTTTCTTGTTTCTTTGCACGTCTGGCAATTTTTTGGTTCAAAACCTGATATTGTAGGTGACATGTTGTAATGACTCTGTAATGTGTTATATTCTTCTGAAGATTATTGAACTTTTTTCTATTAAGCCATTAACTTGCTTGCCTAAATTCTAATTGTAAACACTGTCTCCCTTGTAGAGTGCATCAGCTGACATCTCTGACCAGCTTTCTTTTCTCTTCCAGCTGCTGCATTTATAGCCTTGTCTCTGAAGGTGTTTTCCATCTGTGCGGTTAAACAGTCAGTCAAAAGTTTGAGAGGAGTTTACACTGAAATATTGGGACTTATTCTCTCTGAGATTTCCTTGCTTACAGCTGATCTCCAGCCCCAGTTCTGTTTTCTGGCACCGCAGGCCATTGTGGCTTCAGCTTTACGCCTCCGTTGGGAATGCACAGTTAAAAGAGCAACACATTTGCATATCTCACCTGAGGCAGGCGTTCAAGAACACGTTCCTCTCTCACCTCTGCCTGCTAGTTCTTTGAGTCTCTTGGGCTCTGTCTTACATATGCATAGTTCAGCAGTCAGTCAAAGGTTTGGGCAGAATTTATACTCATATTTTGGGATTCACTTCTTTTGGAACTCTCCTGATTTCAGGATTTCACTCCTAAATCTCCTCCTGTTTTGCCAACCCTACCCTCTGTTTTCTGACACTTTAACTAGAAAGGCTGTGATTTTCTGCAGCAGGATTTGGGGTTGGGGATGGAAAACATTTGCAGGGAAAATATAGCATAAACTTGCAATTCTTACTCCTATAATCATTCTCAAGAGTAAATTATCCTGCAGTTTCTATCCATTTGGGTCATTCTCCAATGCCTTCAGATGGCTTAAAATTTTTTTTTGCAGTTTTTATTTAAAAAGTTTTTGTTGGAGGTTTGCTGAAAAACTTCATGCCACTTGTATTAGACCATTCTTGTGCTGCTATAAAGAAATACTTGGCTTTGCAGATGCTGCTGTGGCCAGGAGCCCCATAATACCAGCCATGGTCAACCCCACCATTTTCTTCGACATCACCATGATAGCGAGCCCTTGGGCTGCGTCTGTTTTGATCTGTTTGCAGAGTAGTTTCCAAAGACAGCAGAAAACTTTTGTGCTCTGAGCACATGAGAGAAAAGATATGGTTTTAAGGATTCCTGCTTTCACAGAATTATTCCAGGGCTTATGTGGCAGGGTGGTGACTTCACATGCCATAATGACACTGGTGGCGAGCCCATCTGTGGAGAGAAATTTCATGACGAGAACTTCATCCTGAAGCCTACAGGTCCTGGCATCTTTTTCACGGCAAATGCTGGACCCAACACAAACGGTTCCCAGTTTTTCATCTGCACTGCCAAGACTGAGTGGCTGGATGGCAAGCATGTGGTCTCTGGCAAGGTGAAAGAAGAAACTGAATATTGTGGAGGCCATGGAGCGCTTTGGGTCCAGGAAAGGCAAGACCAGCAAGGAGGTCACTATTGCTGACTGTGGACAACGCTAATAAGTTTGACTTGTGTTTTATCTTAACCACCAGACCATTCCTTCTGTAGCTCAGGAGAGCACCCCCCACCCCATTTGCTCACAGTATTCTATCATCTTTGTGTTCTCACTGCAGTTCCCTTTGGGTTCTATGGGTTTCCTTCCATGCCTAGCTGGATTGCAAAGTTCAGTTTATGATTATGAAATAAGAACTAAATGACAATAATAATAATAAAAAGAAATACCTGAGACCGGGTAATGTATAAAGAAAAGAGGTTTAATTGGCTCACAGGTCTGTAGGTTACACAAGCATGGCTCCAGCACCTGCCTTGGTGAGGGCCTCAGGAAGCTTCCAATCATGGTGGAAGGAAAAGAGAGAGCAGGCAGTCACATGGCAAGAGCAGGAGCAAGAGAGGGGAGAGGAGGCATCATGCTGTTCTAAACAAGCAGATCTCAGAGCAAGAACTCATTCATTATCACAAGGACAGCACCAAGCCTGAGAGACTCACCCCATGGCCCCAGCACCTTCCACCAGGACCTACCTTCAACTCTGGGATTACATTTCAACATGGGATTTGGAGGAAACACACATCCAAACCACATCATCACTGCTATCAGCAGAAGTCCCAGAGAGGTTTTTGTTTTGTTCTGTTTGCTACTTGCTTTCATTTAACTTTCCCCCCTTTCTTTTCTTATAGTGAAAAAGAAAAAAAAATATAAGTCCCAGGGAGGGGTTTTCCATTTTGAATACCCATCTTTGAATAAAGTGAGTCCTTCCTGGACTCATCACTTGCAGGAGGAAACTCTCTCATCTGGTACAGTCAGAATAATTCTTCTCATCCTGCAAGATTGTGTATGTGAATGATTTCTTTAATGATTACTTTTCCTTCAACAACTGAGATCGTTACTGAGGGTGATTCACAATGCAGTCTTTCTCCTCCATCCTGCCACATTGACAAAATGCTCCCTAAAGATGCAGGTTGTCTGTATAATGGCTTATTCAGCTTCTACTTCCTCTACTTTGCTTTGGAATCAAACTGAGTCCACAGGATTTTTTTTTTTTCCCTTACCATCAGTCTACATCCACTGTTTCACTTTGGCCTTTGCAGGTTTCCTCTTAAAAATCTGCATCTTCTGCATCTGCTTGCACTTCAACTTGACCTTCATTGTTAGACCGCCCTTCCTACTATCGTGTGATTTGGGGTTTCTACTGTTTCCTAGTTTTGTCAAGGATGGTGTTAGCATGTCTGTTTCTCGTTTTCTTCGTTATTTTTGTTTGGCTTCTGAGAGGAGCAGGAGGAAATACTGAACTGGCTATACTATATAAAGCCAGAAATAATCGCTAGGGTTTTTCTTTTAATCAAAAAAATATTATTTTTTTGAGTCAAGTTCTCACTGTCACCCAGATTGGAGTTCAGTGGCACAATCATGGCTCACTTCAACTTTGAACTCCTGGGCTCAAGCAATCCTAACACCTTGGACTTTCAAAGTCCTGGAGAGAAACACCTGAGCCATCATGCCCAACTGAATATAATTTTTTATTTTGAGATAATTGCAGATTCACATAAGTTGTAAAAAATGATACAGAGGGATTCCATGAAACTTTACTTAGTTTCCTCAATGATAACATTTTGCAAAACTACAACACAATATCACAACTGAGATGTTGGAATTGATACAGTCAAGATATAGAAGGTTTCCATTACCACCGGGATCTTCCTGTTGTCCTTTTATAGCCACACCCACTTGCCTTCCACCATCACCCACTCCTTAGTGCCTGGTAGCCACTCACTGGCTGTTCTCCATTTCTATAATTTCTATACTTTCAAGAATACAGCACTTTGGGAGGCCGAGGTGGGTGGATCACTTGAGGCCAGGAGTTCAAGACCAGCCTGGCCAACATAGGGAAACCCTATCTCTACTAAAAAAAAAAAAAAAGAAAGAAAAAAAAATTAGCTGGGTATGGTGGTGTGCACCTGTAATCCCATCTACTTGGGAGGCTGAGGCACCAGAATTGCTTGAACCCGGGAGGTGGAGGTTGCAGTGAGCCGAGATCATGCCACTACACTTCAGCCTGGGTAACAAAGCACTACTCTGTCAAAAAAAAAAAAATTATATAAATCACACACTTTTTTCACTCGGCATAATTCCCTGGAGCTTCATCCAGGTTGTTGCCTGAATGAAAGTTTATATCATTTTACTGTTAAGTAGTGTTCCACGGTATGGCTGTACCATGGTTTGTTTAACCATATTCCCACTGAAGAACATTTGGATTATTTCCAATATTAGGATATAATGAAGAAAATTTCTATAAACATTCATGTACAGGTTTCTATGTGAACACAGCTTTTCATTTCTGTAAGGTAAAGGCCAAGGAATACATGGTAGTGGCAGGTTTAATATTTTTTAAAACTGTCAAAATGTTTTTCAAAGTGACCTTATCACTTTACAATTCCATCAGCAATTTAAATTGTGGTAAGGGAAACCTTCTAGATCTTGATCCAGTTTTTCTTAATTCTCCTCAGCATTCAATAATAATTTGAAAAATTTTAAAACACACCGATTAGAATGACTAAGATAAAAAATAACAACAACTATATTTATATATAAGAGTGGTAAAAATGGACATCCTTGCTTTGTTCCTGATCTTTTTGGGAGAACCTTCAGTCTCTTACCATGAGGTATACTGTTAAGTATAGGGATTTTTGTAGATGTTCTTTATCAAGTTAAGTTACCCTTGTATAGAAACCTTACCTACCTTTACCTCTCTTTATTTGCCACATTTAAAAATAAAAACAACTATTTTTTATTTTAGTCATTCTAATAGGTGTGTTTTAAAATTTGCATTTCTCTAATGGCTAATGATGTTGAACATCTTTTCTTTTTTCTTTTTCTTTTTTTCATTCTTCTTTTTTTTTTTTTTTTTTTTTGAGATGGAGACTTGCCCTGTCACCCAGTCTGGAGTGCAGTGGCGCAATCTCTCATCTCACTGCAACCTCTGCCTCCTGGGTTCAAGCAATTCTCCTGCCTCAGCCTCCCGGGTTCAAGCAATTCTCCTGCCTCAGCCTCCCGAGTAGCTGGGATTACAGGCACCTGCCACCACGCCTGGCTAATTTTTGTATTATTAGTAGAGACGGGGTTTCACCATGTTGGCCAGGCTGGTCTTGAACTCCTGACCTGAAGTGATCTGCTTGCTTCAGCCTCCCAAAGTGCTGGGATTACAAGCGTGAGCCACCACACCCGGCCAAACATCTTTTCAAGTGCTTATTTGCCATCTGTATTTTGTCTTCGGTGAAATATTTCTTCATGACTTTTGCACACTGGATTGTTTGAATTTTATTGTTGAGTTTGGAGAGTTTTTGTTTTGTTTTGTTTTGTTTTTTTGGCAAGGTCTTGCTCTGTTGCCCAGGCTGGAGGGCAGTGTGGTGCCATCATTGCTCTCTGCAGCTTCAAACTCCTGAGCTCAAGCCATCCTCCCGCCTTGGTCCCCAGAGTGTTCTTTACATGTGCTACATACTAGTTCTTTTCAGATATGTGGTCTGCAAATATTTTCCCATAGTTAGTAGGCTGTCTTTTCATCCTCCTAAATGTCTTTCTTAGAACAAAAGTCTTTCATTTAGATAAAGTCCATTTTATCAGTTTTAAATTTTATGTATCATGCTTTGTTGTCAAGTCTAAGAACTCTGCCTAGCTCTAAGATTTTCTCCTATTTCTTTTAATCTTAAGATTTTACAGATTTCCATTTGACATTTAAGTCTGTAATCTATTTTGAGTTAATTTTGTATAAGGTATGAAATTTAGATTGAGGTGGTCTTTGTTTTTTGTTTTTTAATCTACGGATGTTCAATTATTCAAGCACCATTTGTTGAAAAAGTGATCTTTCCCCCATTGAATTGCTTTGTCAAAAATTATTTGGGTAAATTTGTGTGGATCTATTTCTGGGTTCTCTGCCTGTTCTGTTGATCTATGTGTCTCTGCCTCTGCCAATACCATGCAGTCATGATTACGGTGGCTGTACTGTAAGTCATGAAAATGGGTAGACTGATTCCTCAGATCTTTTCAAGATCGTTTTAGTTATTCTAGTCCCTTTGCCTCTCCATATAAAGTGTAGAATAATCTTGCCTATATCTACAAAAATATTGCTGGGATTTTGATAGGAGTTGTATTAAATCAGCATATCATTTTGGGAGAATTGACACCTTTACAAAGTTGCATCTTCCAATTATGAACGTGATATGCCTCATCATTTATTTAGATTCTCTTCTATTTTTTTCACTGGTGTTTGGTAGTTTTCAGCACACAGGCGCTATAAATATTTTGTTAGATTCACAGCTAAATATTTCATTTTATTTTGAGTGATTGTAAATAGTATTATATTTTTTAATTTTGATGCCCATGTGTTAATTGCTAGCATATAGAAAAACATTTGACTTTTGTATTTTTACTTGTATCTTGTGACTTTGCCGAAATCACGTATTAGTGATAGGAGATTTTTTGTAGATTCCTTCATATTTTTCATACAGGCAATCCTGTCATCTGCAAGTAAGGACAATTTTATTTCTTCCTTTCCAGTCCATATATTTTTATTTCTTTTTCTAGCCTTATTCCACTGGCTGGAACTTTCAGTGTTACATTGAATAGGAGTGGTGAGAGTGGACATCATTGCTTCGTCCCTAGTCTTTTTGGGAAAACCTTCAGTCTTTTGCCATTAAGTATAGTTATAGGATATTTTGGTAGATGTTCTTTATCAAGTTGAGTAAGTTGCCTGTGAAGTATAGAAACTTTACCTGAATTTACATCCCTGTGTATGCCGTATTTATAACTGTTTTAATTATTTGCTATACATACATTTAGAACCACATCAAAGAGTGTTATAATTTTTGCTTCAACTGTCAAACATAATATAGAAAATCAAAAGAAGAAGGAAAGTATATCATATTTACTGGTATTTTTGCTTACTATATCCTGTCTTCCTTCTTGATGTCCCCAGATTCCTTTTTTTTTTAAATTTTCCCTTCTGTTTAGATAATTTCTTTTAGTCATTTTTTTAAGGTAGGTCTCCTGGTGACAAATTTTCTTAGTTTTCCATTGACTAAGAATGTCTTGATTTTTCCTTCATTCTTGAAAAATATTTTCACTGTTTACAGGATTCTAGCTTGACAGTTTTTTTCTTTCAGTACTTAAAAGATGTTGTGCCACTTCCTTCACTCCGTGGTTTCTGATGAGAAATCCTCTGTCACTGGAGTTATTTTTCCCTTCAAGTAAGGCATTTTTCTCATGCTGCTTTCAAGACTTTTCTTTGTCTTTAGTTTTCAGCAGTTTGGCCACAATGAGCTTAGGTGTGTATTATGTTGGGTTTATCCTGTTTGGAATTAGGTTACCCTCTTGATTCTATAGATTGCTATCTTTTCCCAACTTGCAGAGTTTTCAGCCATTATTTCTTCTAGTACTTTTTCAGCCTCAACATTTTTCCCCTCTTCTTCTGGGATTCCAATGTCATGAATGTTAGATCTTTTGTTAGGATCCTGCAGGTCCTTGAGGCTCTGTTCCCTTTTTCCAGTGGTTTAGATTTCATAATTTCTATGTTTCTGTCTTCCTGTTCACTGATCCTCTCCTCTGTTCCCTCTGTTCTGCTAGTGTGACCATCCACTGTGTTTTTTTACATTATATAGTGGTTATTGCATTTTTCACTTCTAAAATTTCCATTTAGTCCTTCTTTGTATCTTCTATTCCTTTGCTAAAACATTCTATTCTTTGAAGAGTCTATTTTTCATTTGTTTCAAGCCTGTTTGTAATTGCTCACTGAAGCATGTTTATGATGGTTGCTTTAGAAAATCTTTGTTTGGTTCAGTGCAGTGGCTCCAGCCTGTAACCCCAGCACTTTGGGAGGCTGAGGCAAGATGATCACTTGAGGTCAGGAATCTGAGAGCAGCCTGATCAATATAGTGAGACCCTGTCTCTGTTTATAAAAATAAATAAATAAATAACATAAAATGTTTAAAATATTTTTTCCAGATAATTCTAACATCTCTGTCACCTTGGTGCTGGCATCCATTGATGACCTTTTGTGATTTGACTTGAGGTCTTCCTATTTTGGATATGCTGTGTGATTTCCTATTAAAACCTGGACATTTTTGTATTATATTATAAGATTCTGAATAAGATTTATGTAGTAAATATTGCATTGGCTACATATTGCATTGGCTAATACAATTTAGTGGGCTAATTCAGCTGGCTCCCTTTGACACCGCTCTGGCAGGAATAAGGGGGAGTGCCTGGTGGGAGGAGAAGACCAGGCTTCCCTGGTGGCCTCTGGTGATAATTGAGGGAGGAGGCTCCTCATTTCTCCTGGGCAGGGATGGGTATTCCAGACCTCACTAGGCCTCCACTGATATGTCCCTGGCTGAGTTAGGAGTGTCTCATTGCACCTCTCCATGTGGCCTTCAATGACACCAGGGTTGGGAGGCTCTTTACCACCCTAGAGGAATGAAAGTTCCTTCTCCCTACTCAGCCTTCTCAGACACAAACCCAGTGAGAGAACTAGGGATGCCTCGTTACAGCCTGATGAGGCTGGAAGTCTAGGCTTCCTGCTTGGCTTCTGCAGGCATGGGTAGGGGTGAGGCCACAGTTTTCTCTATAATGTTCGTCTGGAGCAGAGCTGTTATTATCTAAAATGTCTCTGCCTTGCTAGGCTGACCCTTTCCTTGTCTTTTGGCTAGATAAGTGGGCTTTTGTTGGGGGCTTGGTTTTTGGTCTAAACCTGTTGGTGTTTTCAGGTTGCTGACTTATTGAGCTCCGTGTCTGGAATACATAAGGCTAAAGAAACTCACCACTGTGTGATTCCTTGGTATATCAGTTGCCTAGAGCTATCATAACAAGTACAACAGACTGGTTGACTTAAACAACAGAAATGTATTATTTCACAGTTCTGAAGGCTGGAAGTCTGGGATCAACGTGTCAGCAAGATTGGCTTCTTTTCAGGCCCCTCTCCTTGGATTGCAGATGGCTCTCTTCTCATGGTGTCTTCACATGATCTTCCCTCTGTATTTGTCTGTGTCCTAATCTTCTCTTCTTAAAAGGACACCAGTCATATTGGATTAGGGCCTATATGGCAGATGTACCTGACAGCAATAACTTGGAGTGGCCAACCTGGAGATTCATTCCTTATCTATGAGGAGCATTGGAACCCTTGACCCATCCCATGGAATGCAGGCTTCATCATGGGTTGAATGAAGGTTGCCAGATGGAGGTTGCCAGGGGAGGGTGCTAAGTGAAAATGCTATGTAAACCACATGCTTTTGACAGGTGGTTGCAGTTTTCCTGTGCAGCCCATCACCACTGGGCCACCCTGTATGTAAGTCCCCTCAATAAACCCTATGTCTCATGCACTGGCTCCAGGTCTCTTCTTCAGCCTCTCAAACATGGCACCAACTCTACTGAAGTCAGTAGGGGTCCGGCATGACAGGGCCCACTCTAAATGACCTCATTTTCCTTACCTCTTTAAAGACTTTATCCTCAAATGCAATCACTGGGGATGAAAATGTTAGCATATGAATTTTGGAGGGACACAATTCGGCCTATGACACTTGGGGCCCAAGGTCCCTGGCCCGTCTGCCTTCTTCTTTCTACCTTTCAGAGCCTTCTTATGTTTACTGTATATATAAAGTCCATGGTTTTGAGCTGCACTCAGTGGGAAGAATAGGGGAAAGTATCTTCCCAGAAGCAGAAGTCCCCCCATTGAGTTGTCAGACTGTAAAAATATATTTCATGGCCTGGGCAAGGTCTTGACTCAGGCCAAGGAGCAGAAAAGGGCACTGGAGTTCCTGAAAGGTGGCTCAGCATAAAAGAAAAGGGTGACCAAAAAATAAAAAATAAAAAATCAGAACCAGGATCCAAACTCTAGGGGGCGTCTTTGTAATAAAACAAGCAAGGTCCTAGGTGGCTTGGAAAATGAAACAGAGGGTCCTCAACTAGTCAGAGGATCAGGAAGTCAGCTCTAAGCACAGAACTAGAACTTAGTACTAGGGCCCATCCAAGCCACCCACCCCTGGGCTGTGGGGTCACCTTGGGAAATGGCTCTTGAGTGAATCTGAAGAATCTTACTACCTTGGGAAGCAGATCAATTTGCTGGGAATAGGGAACTCCAGTACAGAGAGTGGCACAGAGAAGAAACCACTTCTCAAATATGGGATGGTTGTTGCCTTGGCAAACTGACAGGGGTCCGCACCAAGACCCGCAGGGTCCACACGGCAACGCTGTGACAGTGGCAGATGCCCTCCTGAGTTCCCCAGACTGACCACAGACTTCAGGCCCCACCTAGTAGAAGTGGCCCTGCTGCTCATGAAGCTGAGATTAGCAGACACTGGAGGCTCAACCCCAGTGGCAGCTCTGATGGCCACTGGGCAGGTCTAAGCCGCCCCCTCTTGCATCAGGAGCAGCTGACCCCTATCGGCATGCCAAGGACTCCTCACATAGTATTCCAGGGGAGTTTATTCCCTTGGGGGGGTGGGGGGGAAGCATTGCCTGCTAGTGTGTAACTGGCTACTGAAACATCAAGATTTGTGATATGGATGTAAAAGTGCCCTGACCTGTAGTTAGCAGGTACACTAAGAGCTGCACATTAGCCATTGTTACAGCCCTTGTCTGCATCGCTGGGCCACTGCCAAGAGGGGAATGTAGATTTTAAAAATGAAAATATCATTTCTTATGCAGGAAGTACTCTAACACTGCCTGTTTCCTCACAGTCCTTCAACGCGTCTGGTTGCTACCTTGTCATAATATTTGAATTAGGGTGGTGCGACACGCCACAGATGACACAAATGGGAACCCTATCTGGAGTGGAAGATCTCTGCTGCAGTTGGCAAAACATACCCTGATTCCCACCTTAATTTTCCTGGAACAACAGAGAGTTCGGCCTCTGAATGCTCTGCAGACACCCCCATCACTCCCTGGAACATGTCTGTCTCCTCTTCATGCTGTTCATGACCATTAGTCCTGTAATCTCCCACTCCTCTTCTGGCACTGAATGGAGAGGAAGGGAATTTCTCATTTTCTAATTGCCTCAGAAAGGCCCTCCCCAGGAAGTTGCAGGGAGGGGGACCACACTTCATGAACCCAAGGCCTCTAACGGAATGGAAGGAAGTAACATTGCCACCCTCTGTCTTAGGGGGAATCCCTAGGAACAGGAAGGTGGTGCCATTTTGGTGGAAGTAGACAGGAGCTGTGTGGAGTCATAGAGTAACATAACCAATTGTAGTAAAACTCAGGTCACTTTCAGCTTTTATTTTCTCTCCTAAGGGCTGTCTCCTTCAGTCAATTGTCCAGAGCTTAAAGCTAGGACCCCATGGAGAAAACTCTCTACCTCACGGTAATTATGTTCAGCCATCCTCTATGTACAAGCAGTAATGTCTTTAGTGTTTAAAGTGATCTTTCTTTCTTGTTGTTGCAGAGATGAGGTCTCCTTATGTTGCCCAGACTGGTCTTGAACTCCTGGCCTCAAGCGAGCCTCCCACCTCAGCCTTCCAAAGTGCTGGGATTACAGGTGTAAGCCACTGCACCTGGCTTTACAGTGAATGCAAATCTGATCCTGTCGCTCTCCAGCTTAATCACCTCCTGCGGTGCTCTGGGACAGAGCCCAGCCTCCTTAGCATGTAGGCAAGGTCCCCTTGCTCGGGCCTCATTAACTGCTCCGGTCTTGCTTCCTTCTGTGTCTCTCCCATGATCATCTCCCTGTGATGGCCACACTGGAGCCTCACTGAGATGTTTGCACAAAACTTCATGTCTCCCACATCTCCATGCCAACGTTCCACTGTTCTCTCTGCCTCAACGTCCCTTCCAGACAACGAGGTTAGATGCCTGGCTTCGTGCTCTTGTGACTTATGCACCTTTATCAGCACTCTTATCACACTGTACTAAAATCCTGCCTTATTAGCTGTCTTCCCTTCTTGGCTATGAACTAAACAAGCACAGAGATTGCCTATTACTCACTTTTACTTTCCTGAGGCAAAGCAGAAAGCCGGAAACCTAGGCTTAGTTGGCCCTCGATACATGTTAATTAAATGAAGGACTGATTCCATGAGTGAGTGAGTGCCCCGTCCTGAAGGATAGTTCCATGTGGTGTCACTTGCTTTTTTCCTAAGTGTTCAGATAAAGATTCAATTAAACTCAGCAAATATTTAAAGGGCACTTATTACGTGCCCCTCCTGTGCTAGGCACTGGAGATACAAAGACAAAGAAGCACAGTCCTGGGAACCCTCAAGTAGTTCCCAGCCGGGAAAGGGACACTGATGGACGCAGCTGTCCCTCAGCCGACAAGTCCAGACCGAAACACCTCACAGGAGACCCGGTTGGGTTTTCCACCAGGAGGGCTCAGGTCAGGTCAGGTGCTTCTGCTAAATGTGTTGTGAAACCAACAGCCAGCCTTTTTCAGCCTGCCTCTAGACCAGGAGGCAGGAATGTGCTCGGTAATGCAGCTGTGGTACTCCCGCCCATAGACCCCCAGTAGGAGCCAAGCAACCCTGGGATGAAGGCAGAGTGTGGGCTGGCTGGAGGGCCTGGGAAGGCCGCTGGGGAGGATGGGCCTTGTGAAGCTGTGCTTCCTCCGAGCTCTAACTTAGATCACATGGAGATTTGGAAGGACTGTTGGTGTGTCTTTCAGGGTGTTGCTAGAATCAGGGAACGCTAAAGCCTCCAGAGCCACCAAAACTGTCACCACTGGGAACAAAGGCTTTTGTCCCTAGGTAAGTATAATCATGCACTGGTGACAGGGGAAGGAGAGTGGGGAACTGGGGTTGGAGGGCCCTTCCCAGCATCTGGAAAATCACATTGAGTGAAAGGGTATTGACTAGAGACGGTGTTTTCCATTTCTGTTATTCTTTTAGGAGCTATTATAGAGTCAGGTTTAATAAGGAAGATGGGAAAACTCTCAGCTCACTCAATTGCTTTTAATTTATTAGTCTTATGTCTGTCTCCATTATTCCACACCCCTCACACCCCTATCATCAATCATAAAGTTCAGGAAAGAAGGTAAACAACCTTAGGAGAGCCAGACATGAGCCAAGCTCCAGCTGGGACATTTAGTGTCTGATGGGAGAGTGATCAAAAGTGAGACCCAATCGGTGGTCTCTAAACATATGACAGAAGCCTCTGACTGCTGCCCCTTTACAAGAGGCTTTAAAAAGCAAGTGTGCAAAGGAGGACAGAGAGGGAGAGGAAGGAGGAGGGAGAGCGGGCACTTGGGCGGCAAGGGTAGTGCTCTGGAAGTCTGGTATGATTCTGTCACGTTGCATCATCATCACAAAGGGGCCACATCTGAAGCAAAAAATGGCAAAGACTCAAAGAAAATAAATCATGCAGACTCTGGAATGACCTCATTAAAAAGCTGCTCTATCTGCTGCCATGTTCTATTTATAGCTGAAATATGGCGTTCCTGACAGGAAATCTAAATGACAGCAAGCCTAGGGTTTTAAGGCAGTGGGTAGGGGTTTGCTTAATGAATCATCTGATATTTTTATTCGGATGATTTTTCTGTTCTAATGAAACTATTAGTACAGTTCTCTTTTCTGCATGAGATGACATTCATGGGATGTGTTTTTTACTCAGGAATTGAGGATAGAGAAGTAAAAGGATCCTTTTATATAAAATCTTTTGCTAAATACATATGAACTTCATAATACACCATTACCCTCAACATATCTTAATGCTGGTTCACAATATTCTTTTCCAGGCCATATTGTAGCTGTTATTTCCAGTGATCATTGTAAATAACTTTATTATGTTTCACTGAAATCAATTTCATAGAAATCAAACCAATAAGGAAAACATCTTTTAAGAAGGAAGACATAGAGCCTTATTCCAAATGTTAAGAGAAAAAAGCAGATCATATACTGTGTAGATAAGCAGAGCCACACTTCTAAAACCCTGAAGCCCAGGGCCTGGATGCAGCTGCCAGCAAGTTCCCTCTCTGTGTTATGGGCAGAGGCAGGATTCATCTTTGAAGGAAGATTGCTTTTAAGTTTTTTGGGGGGAAAATCTTTTTTTTTTTTTTTTTGAGATGGACTCTTGCTCTGTCGCCCAGACTGGAGTGCAGTGGCACGATCTCGGCTCACTGCAAGCTCCGCCTCCCGGGTTCACGCCATTCTCCTGCCTCAGTCTCCGGAGTAGCTGGGACTATAGGCGCCCGCCACCACGCCCGGCTAATTTTTTGTATTTTTAGTAGAGACGGGATTTCACCATGTTAGCCAGGATGGTCTCGATCTCCTGACCTCGTGATCCGCCCGTCTCGGCCTCCCAAAGTGCTGGGATTACAGGCTTGAGCCACTGCGCCTGGCCAGGGGGAAAATCTTTAGCAAGTTTTCAGTTCTGGAAGACTGCTCTTCAGCCTGAGGACAGTTCAGATGCTTTTAAAAGAAAAAAAGTACAGACCCCACTCCCCACCCCCGCCACTGCCCCGATGCTGTTAAAGTGTTTTTATTAAAAACACTTCAAAAATATGTATTTAAGGCAAGATTTGAAATCCTGATCCTTGTGGCTCTTATACAACCTTAAAACCAAAACAAATTGTGATGTTTAATTTTATGTGTCAACTTAGCTAGGCCATGGTACCCAGATATTTGGGCAAACATTGTTTTAAATGTTGCTATGAAGGTTTCCTTTTAGATGAAATTAATGCATTTGAGTCAGTGGACTTTGAGTAAGGCAGATACCCTCCACAATACAGGTGGGCCTCGTCCAATCCGTTGAAGGCCTTAATAGAAAAAGACTGCTCTCTCCCCAGCAAGAAGGAATTCTGTCAGGAGAGGGCATTTGGATTTGAACTGTAAAACAGCTCTCCCCTGGGTCTCCAGCTTGTTGGCCTGCCCTGGAGATTTTGGACTTGCAACCTCCATAATCATGTGAGCCAATTTCTTTCTTTCTTTTTTTTTTAATATATAACAATTTTTAAAAAAAACAGACTTAAGGGTCTCGCTATGTTGCCCAGGCTGGTCTTGAACTCCTGGGGTCAAGCGATCCTCCCTCCAGCCTCAGCCTCCCAAAGTGCTGGGTTTATAGGTGTGAGCCACTGTGCCCAGCTAGTGTGAGCCAATTTCTTAAAATAAATCTCTTTCTTTCTCTACACACACACACACACACACACACGTGCGCGTGCGCATGCCCTATTGGTTCTGTTTCTCTAGAGATCCCTGACTAATACACAAATCTAAAAGTTAAATACCCCCAAACTACAAAACTAATAAAATTGATATGAACAACTGGAATGTAATGTGACAGGTACTGTTAGTTGTGTGCAGTTACTGATGTCAGGTTTCATAGTGGAAAGATGTCCTCTTAGAACTGTTTTGGTATTTCATCTGTTTCTGCATTTGATTTTTAAAAACCTAAAGCCAAGAAAGGTTGTTTATATAAGGGCATTGTATAAAACAATATAAAAAACTTTAAACTTTTATTTTATAACTCCTGGAAAATTAGAACTGATAATTAAAATTTTACCAAGAAGCAATCTTCAAATAATAATTCTATAAAGCTGTTTTAGTCATTGGAGGATAACATTAGCATTGCAGCATTATTTAAATATACATTCACTATTATCTAATTCGATTATTACTGGAAGTGGGAAGAAAGGCATTCTTCCCTGCTAATAGACTGTTTTATTTGGTGCATACAGATACAGAACACTCCATGCAACCACTTTCAAATATGAAAATGGTACTGCCTTCCAGAGAATAGGATCTTTAGAATTCTGCATATTTATATTATCATATGCTATGGCTGATTCAATTCTTCTGCCACTTTATTCAAGATGTTATAAACTATTCATTTATAGAGTGTGCCATGATATCATTTAGGCTTTAGTTCACAAACTTCACAAATGCAAATGCAGGCAATAAAAATTCTTGCCAGTACTCTGGTCCACCAGAAAATCAGAACATGCTTTAAAAAATCATTGAAATGAAAACAATATATTTAAAATAATCATACCTTTATATGTACAGAGCTCCTAAATATTAGTAAAGAAAGAAGAATAATCTTATCAGTGGAGGAAGAACATAAATTGGTAAGTTACCAAAAAATGAATTAAAAAACAGCATACAGGCTGGGAGCAGTGGCTCATGCCTGTAATCTCAGCACTTTGGGAGGCTGAAGTGGGCAGATCACTTGAGTCCAGGAGTTTAAGGCAACATGGTAAGACCCTGTCTCTACAAAACCACAAAAATTAGCCAGGTGTGGTGGTGCATGCCTGTAGTCCCAGCTACTCAGAAGGCTGAGATTGGAGGATCGTTTGAGCCTGGGAGGCAGAGGTTGCAGTGAGCCGTGATCATCCCATTGCACTCCAGTTAGGGTGACAGAGACAGCCCTGTCTCAAAAACAACCACCACCACCACAACAACGATGGCATAGAAACCTATGAAAAGACTTCTGGTTAAGCATGGTAAGTTGAACATACATATTTGTCTTTCTTCCCCCTCATACTGCCTACTAAAATTGCAGAAAGAAAGAAACAAGTATAATTCCACAATATGAGAGAAAAGATCTCAAATGAGTGATGTGGACGTCATTTTGGAAGCTGGAGAGCAGATAGACCAATGGCACTTGACTCAGTAGTCAGAGCAGAACCTGAGACCACAAGAGCGGGCAGTGGGAATGGGCAAGGAAGCCAAGAAGAAGCAAACCAATTCTAACTACAGCTCCAAAAAGGCACCGGGATTGGAGGTTCCAGGTACCTCTAAAAACAGGGGTAGGAGGTGGGGACAAAAATAGGAGGATCCATTGAAATTATTACAAGGGGTAGTTATATTTCAGGATCCCCTCTTCTCCACAGCTAAGCAATTGCCTCTACCCTGCCCCAGCAGAAAACTGGAGGTTGAGTCTCCTTCTGAATGTGGGGCACCAGGTGCAACTGAACATGAGTGTGTATGTAAATGTCCAAGTACTGAATGGTGACACCCTATCTCCAGTTTTCCACCTATCTTGTGCATGGAATGTTAATAGGCAGGAGGTTGGAGGATTTTTCTCTAGGGAAATGAATGAGCCCAAGAGAAAAGAACCAGCATGAATGGCCTTTGGGAGTTTTCCAACAAAGAATTTCCGACCTGATCACCCTACAGGGAAACGAAAAAGTCAAAAGTTCTCATCCATTCACATGAAGCTTCCAAACAAAGATTTTAGAATCTCACTTTTAAATAGGAATAATCAATTGAGAATTATTAGACACCTCAGGAATGCCTATGACGTGAAAGACAGTGGCACTAGACTGCCCAACAGTAGCCCCAGAAGATCAAAGACAATGGAGTGGTGCCTTCAGGATGCTGGGAAATTATCTCAAAACTGGAATTCCATACTCTATAGTTTACATGTAGATAGAATAAAGACATCTTCAAGTATTATAAGGTCTCAAAAATTTAAGTTTTATACACTCTTTCATAAAAAGCTGCTAGATGATGTTCTTCACCAAAATAAGTCAATTAATAAAGAAAGGGAAAGAGAGGCATTCATAAAATAGGGAATCCAGCAAGAGTGAAGAGAAAAAATCCATAGGATTTCCTGACGGGGAAAATCCCAGGGCAACAGTGGTGCAGCAGTCCTACAGAGAAGCAGACCAAATTGGTGCAAGAAGACAGAGGGCTCCAAAAAAGATGTTTTATTTGAGGGTGGATGGGGTAGGGGATGTGGGTGAATGTGAGCCACCATACTGTTTGAACCCATTGGAGTGGATTTTTAATTTATTTTTATTTATTTAGTTTTTTGAGACAGGTTCTCACTCTGCTGCCCAGACTGCAGTGCAATGGCGCGATCCTGGCTCACTGCAACCTCCGCCTCCTGGGCTCAAGCCATCCTCCCATCTCAGCCTCCAGAGTAGCTGGGACTACAGGTGCACATCACCATGCCCAGCTAAGTTGTTTTTTTGGTTTTTTTTTTTTTTTGTAGAGATGGAGTTTTGCCATGTTGGCCCAGGCTGGTCTCAAACTCCTGGGCTCAAGCGATCCACATGCCTTGGCCCCTCAAAGTGCTGGGATTACAGGTGTGAGCCACTATGCCCAGCCTAAGATTTTTAAAAAAATTCTCTTAGATATATTGAAGATGAAAGGTGCATAAAATACTAAACAAGTGAAATATGGGGCAATTAATAACTCTAGGGAAAATGAACACAAGGAAATGTATTATAGCATGCAATATAGCTTCCTTTGTAAATAACATCTACATGGACATAATTTTTAAGAACATACTATATTGATTTAACCAAAAAATAGTCATCTAATTATTAATATATTGGGAAGATGAAGGAAGTATATGGTAAAGGGTAGGGCTAGAAGAACAATATAGGGGATCTAACGCCACATCTTCCACGGTGGAAAGTCAACTGATAGGTAAGAAGAAGTAGGAACTGAAAAACTAGAATTTGTGTTACAAGTATTTTATTTAGAAAAGAAGATAGGGTTGGGCACAGTGGTTCACACCTGTAATCTCAACACTTTGGGAAGCCAAGGTGAGAGGACTGCTTGAGCCCAGGAGTTTGAGGCTGCAGTGAGCTGTGATCACACCACTGCACTCCAGCCTGGGTAGCAGAGTGAGACCCTGTCTCTTAAAAAAAAAAAAAAAAAAAAAAGAGAAAGAAAAAGAAAGAAAGAAATTGAAGGTAGACAAAAGGAGAATAGGATAAAGAAGTTAACAGTATATACTGGCAACTGTTATTTTTGATGATAATCTTGGTGATAATGTTAGGATTGTTAAGCCATATACATGTGTTATTGACTCTTGTCCCTCAGGTTTTGCACCCTTATGTAGTCTCCCGCCACACTAAATAGGGTTGTATAACCAATAGGATATCATGGAAGCAACAGAATGTGGCTTTAAGGGCAGGATCACAAAAGATACCGTGTCATCTGTCTTGCTCTTTTTTTTTTTTTTTTTTTGAGACAGAGTCTTGCTCTGTCGCCCAGGCTAGAGTGCAGTGGTGCCATCTCGGCTCACTGCAACCTCCGCCTCCTGGGTTCAAGCAATTCTCCTGCCTCAGCCTCCCCAGTAGCTGAGATTACAGGTGCCTGCCACCACTCCTGGCTAATTTTTTGTGTTTTTAGTAGAGACGAGGTTTCGCCATGTTGGCCAGGCTGGTCTCGAACTCTTGATCTTGGGTGACCTGCCCACCTTGGCTTCCAAGTGCTGAGATTACAGGCATGAGCCACTGTGCCCAGCCTGTTTTGCTCTTTCTCTCGGATCTCCTACGCTGCAAGAAGCCAGCTGCTATGCTTTAAGGACACTCAAGTAGCATGATGGCAACGTCTATATGGGAGGGACTGAGGCTTGCTGCCAAGACAGCCTTGCTAACTATGTGAGTGTAAACTAAAAATAAATCCTAAGCCCCTCAGCCAACTGAAAAATCCCCCTCTTGGCCAAAAGCACCCCGGAAAAACCTTAAAAACTGAGTTTCCAGCCGTGATGAGACAGGAGGTCAGATATGCCTTGTTATAACCTCTCCCTTTTGCAGTTTAGACACAATGACTAACCAGCATTAATGTTAAATAGAGATCATAAGACTGACAGAATGGACCCTTGGTGGTGTAAGATACCCAATTAGAAATTGGATCTAAGGTCATGCCAGGTAAGGGTTAAATCACGTGCCCCTATTCTTAAAGAATAAACTCTGTTCTAACTGCCACAAGGTTTTTCTTTTCCTTTAGCACCTAAACAAGCACTGGCCTCAAGATAAGCAATATTAGAACAATTTAAAGCTCTTCCACCGCCAGATGCTAACTGACCCCCCTGTTCCACAAACCAAAACTACAGCTTTGACTGGACAAAAGACTAATGTCAGTAACTTTATCCTTGTAAGAAGACCACTGACCATGGACCAGTTCTGGCTGGTTTACAGAGGCAGTGCACTTGAGGGCCTTCTGAAAGCCCTTTTGATGTATGGGGCCTAATTGTAATGCATTCAAATGTGAAGTCCCAAGGTGAATGGGGTTGGACATAAAATCCATGTTTGATCAATGTGCATGTGTTAGGACCACCTTCATGAATATTCATAGCTCTTCCTAAAACCTGTTGAGTAAATATTTCTCACCTGACCAACCCATTCAGCTTAAATTCCTGACCTACCACTCCCTGTTTTATATGGGTTATATATAAAACAGCTAGAAGGGAACTTTAATAATGAAATTATCTGGGTGGTGGGATTATAAGCGTAAGGTGCCTGAGCTGGCCACACCATGGTCAAGCCATCCTGACATCCCCCTGCTCTTGTGATAATGTACTTTGTGAAATTCCTCGTCCTTGTGAACGTACTTTGTAACATTCCTCCCCCGCCCTTGTGACAATACACCCTCCCTGCCCTTGTGAATGTACTTTGTAATATTCTCCCAGCCCTTGAGAATGTACTTTGTAACATCCATCCCCTGCCAGCAAAAAACAAAATTGCTCTTGACTCCTTGAGAATGTACTTTGTAACATCCATCCCTGCTCCTGACTCCACCGCCTATCCCAAACCCATAAGAACCAATGATAATCTCACCACCCTTCGCTGACCCCTTTCTCAGACTCAGTGCACTTGCACCCAAGTGAATAAACAGCCTTGTTGCTCACACTAAGCCTGCTCAGGTGGTCTCTTATATGTACCTGCGTAACAATAAGGATTATAAGTAAACATAGGAAGTGCCTGCTTTTGGAGCTTTGGCCAGAGGCTATGCTTCCCACCCTCTCAAAATGGCCACCTTGCAGGCTATAACCCTATATAAGAAATAAAGTCTCCTTTCCAAATTTATAAATTGTGTGATTTCCAAGTTAACATGAGCCATTTTGGAAGCAGATCCTTCAGCCCCAGTCCAACCTTCAGAAGACTGCAGCCCCTACCAACATTCCAGCTGCAACCACACCTGAGACCCGGATCTGGAAACACCCGTCCACTCTTGAATTCCTTAGCCACAGAAGCAATAAGATAACCAACATTTTAAAAAATCTTTTTAGAAAACATTTCAAATGTTTCTTCAGTGTTAGTTTAATGTGTTACACAGAAATCAGTAGTGACTCTAAGCAACAGTAGGCTAGAGAAGCTGATTATGAAGGTGGAAGAAGTGACAGGAAAAGGAACATTCTGGAACAGCCACAGTCCAGTGTGAGTGTGGCTGGCCAGCAGGACGGGTGGCCCCCAGATGGGCTTGGGAGACCTAGGAATCCCTCTTGCGCAGTTCTGGAAATGCTACATGTGTAGGGATTGGAGGGTGGAGATGAGAAGGCTAGACTGCCATTGACAGGCAACGTGAGGTACGAGTTATCTTGTAGTGTGACAGTACTGCACAGTGACACTGCTGGCTTCCCAGGTGAGCTGTGAAGAGGGCATTTGGGGCATACGTAAAATGGCTAGAAGGAAACTTTAATAACAAAGGTATCTGGGTGGTGGGATTATAAGTAAACATTTACCTGCTTTCTTGTATGCTTCTAAACTTTCCATTTTCTGAAATAAGTTTGTGTTGGTTTTATAATCAAAATAAATTTACAAAATTAAATTTAAATCTAGAAGCAGTTCAAGTTAAGGTGAAAAATCATCCTGCAAATATTTTCTTTTAATGCCAATCACCTAAATACATTGAAGCCACAATCGGGAATGTGTGCCTGATGTCTCTTAGTGAAGTGAATAGCTGCAGAACTGATGGATGGAGCCCTGGTAAGTGTAGGCTGGTCAGGGGAACAACTCAAAATGGGACTTATTGGCTGGGCGCAGTGGCTCACACCTGTAATCCCAGTACTTTGGGAGGCTGAGGCGGGCGGATCACCTGAGGTCAGGATTTCAAGACCAGCCTGACCAACATGGAGAAACCCCATCTCTACTAAAAATACAAAAAAATTAGCCAAGCATGGTGGTGCACGCCTGTAATCCCAGATACTTGGGAGGCTGAGGCAGGAGAATTGCTTGAACCCGGGAGGCAGAGGTTGCAGTGAGCTGAAGTGGCACCACTGCACTCCAGCCTGGGCAACAGAGTGAGACTCCATCTCAAAAAAGAAAAAAAGAAGAAAAGGGGGGCAGAGGGTGCTTATTGAGAGCACACAAGATGGCTTATAGATTTGAGGGATTAATTATTAAATAAACCTCAGGAGGGACACAGAACAAGACCACTCTGAGGTCTTAGGCACTGGAAATGGGGCCTTAGGCATCCGTGGGAATCCCTTTCACTCAGCCTCCCCCAATCTCCTTACTCAGCTCTGCATGGATTCATTTTCGTCTTTCATTTTCTATGACAGGACCCAGAATCTCCTTTTTCCAAATCCAGGATTTGAGAATAAAGAGAGACTCTCCCCATTAGCTCTACCAGGAAAAAAAAAAAAAAAAGAAGAATCTTAACTGACTTGTTTCTGAACCAATCACTGAGCCCATGCCCAGGGGCATGGACTACCATGACAGCCACACGCCCATCCCTGTGGTCAAGGACTGAGTCTGTCACCAGGTGCAGGCAAAGACAGGACACAGCACAGTGACTTCAGGGAAGTGTGAAGTGCTATCCAAATGTGACTTACTATTAATATTAATTTTTAACTCTTTTAATACTCAGTTTCCTTACCTTTAAGATGGGGGATATATTTCCTACCTATCTTACAAGACTACTGGGGAGTTTAAGTGAGATAATAGATGTGGAGGTATTTATGAATTATGTAGTGTGTACAATTATTTTGTTTATTAATGATTAAAACGTATTTCTCCACTTTTTGAGGGGAAAGTAAGCAAAAAGAAAGGGTCATCAGATCATCAGAACGCAAGTTTTCCGAGGGAAACGGCAGCCTCTTCATAGGATGGCTACTTTCAAGACCTTGCAATTGCTAGAATACTTTCATTTCCTTCCTGACTTTATAAGAACATTGCAACCCAAATCTCTGGTGCAGCCAGGCCCTCGTGCAGCCCCTCTGCAGTGCACTGGACACCTGTGTGGATGTGCCAACCACATGCAGCTCTCTGAGGTCACAAGCAGGTGCTGTCCTGTCGCCTTGCAGTCCAGGGAGGTGAGAGTCACTGCCCAGGCAGAGGGAGCCAGAGATGTGCTCTAGTTCATCTTCCTCATTTTACAGACAAAGACCCTGGTATCCCTGTCCCCTCAGCCACCTCTGCATTAGTCTATATTTTCAGTGGGCAGTCCCTGCAGGCCAATGGCTTCCATCATGGAATCTTGCTCAGTCTGTATGTGGGGTAGCCTGGACGATGCTGAGGATCTCATGACTCCAAGGGCAAATGTCAGCCACATCAGGTGGCATTGGTGGGTTTCTCCCCATCTTTCACATGGACAGCTTTGAAGTGTTTCTACACTCTCCTTTGAGGGCCTCTGGTGGAACTGAGCTTCAGGTGCGCCGGGGGAACCCAGCACACCCTTTCCTGACTGTTCTCCCTCCTGGCCTCATTTCCCCATGCCTCACTTGTGCTTCCTGCTTAAATAAGCCACTCGTTCCTAAGTTCTTGTCTCAGAGTTTGCCTTTAGGGAACCCAAAGTAAAACACCCAGGGAGTGACACTTAGCTAGGGATGGAGCTGGTACTAGAACCCAGGCCCCTGTACTTCACTTTAAGTCGTAAGTCAGAGCAAATGTGAGTGTGCAACGAGCTGCTCACAATCTTACCTCGGCAACCAACCAACCGACCAACAGACCAAACAAACAAACAACTAGCCAACCAACTAAACAAACAAGCAACCAACCAAATTACCAACTAAACAACCAACCAAACAACTGACCAAACATAAACCAAAAAAATACAATCTGAACCTACCAAAATCTCTCTGTGAAAAACTGTAGAGACAAGTCGTGCCTTCCAGCTTGATGAATATCAAATGCCAGTAAGCTGAACAGGCATGCTTATGACAACTAAGAGAGGAGCTCAAGTCGCAGGGTGCCTTACTGTGTGCTTTCAGGGGTCCCCGTGGGTGGGCAGTACCTTCAACAGTCTCCATGGTTCAGAGTCAGGGATCCAGGTTTAAAAGGCCAGAAACAGAATTTTATCCTTCCCCTTAGAGTTGATGACCATCTTGGGGCAGGCTCACTGGCCAAATTCACTCGGCACCCATTGATGGGGCAAAGCATTCCTTAGATGGGAAGCCCTTGTAGGTGGAGAGTGTGGGCGGCCATTTACCCAGGACGCCCCGCAGAGTAAACAATATGGGACACAGCTCTTAGGTCAGAAAGCTGTGTTTTGAGCACAGAATTGAAGCAGGCAAAATAAATGGTTACCAAGGGACAGTTCTGTCCACCCAAAGCAGATTGAAAAATGCCCTTCTTGCACCTGGAGCATTTCTGGCTAAAGAACAAGGGTGTTCTGGAATGAGGACACCCTTTCTGCCTGAGGCACAGACAGTACACATTTGGACACTCTGCCTCCCTGCTCTTTAGCCTTCGAATGCAATTCACACCCATCCTGGTGTTAGTACATCTCGTATTCATATATGGGGTTACCAAAATTGGTTCAGGATGTGTTTTATTTGTATTTATTTAGTTAGTTATTTTTTTGAGACAGAGTTTCACTCTTGTTGCCCAGGCTGAATGAAGTGCAATGGCACAATCTCGGCTCACTGCAACTTCTGCCTCCTGCGTTCAAGTGATTCTCCTGCCTCAGCCTCCCGAGTTGCTGGGATTACAGGCGGCCACACCATGCCTGGCTAATTTTTTATATTTTTGGTAGAGACAAGGTTTCACCACGTTGGTCAGGCTGGTCTCAAACTCCTGACCTCAGGTAATCCACCTGCCTCAGCCTCCCAAAGGGCTGGGATTACAAGAATGAGCCATCGTGTCCAGTCTGGGCACGTGTTTTAAATTACACTCCAGTTCTACGGATATGAGCTCTTCACCCCTTTAGGTTTGGTGTCCTCCAGGCCTTTTAGGTAACATATGGAAACTCTCTCTTTGGGCTCAGCCTGCTCCTACCATCATTGATGTGTTAGTTTTGCACTCATTTGTCTCTCAAATGGTGCCCCTTCCTCCAAATCCCAAGGGTGGGACTGTGAGGTCACCATGAATACCTCTTGAAATGTTGCACTGAGTAAGAATTGTGTAGTAGAGAGGAATGACCACAACTGGGAAGAGTGTAATGAGAAAGACTACCATGTGCAAAAAATATAACATCATGAAATGGATTTCTTAACTCATAGTTTAGCAGTGCCATGAACTGGAAAAAAGCTTTGTATCTTCGTGTCTTCCTTAGTTCAAAAGAAATGCCAAAGCTTGCTGTGAAATGAAATGATGAGACCATTCACAACCACCGGAACTAATCGACTTGCTTTCCAGTGGATGTGTGTCTAATGGCTGATTTGGTTATTAGCTGGATTATACAACTGCAACTTCTATAGAATCTTGTCACTCTGACTGCTGTTTAGACTGTGGAATCCAGAATCACCAGGTCTTATTTTCCAGAATAGCTGGAACAACTGCAAGGCTGGATTTTTTTTTTTTTTTGGTCTAATGTCCTATGGGACAAAGCTACATTTTTGTACTTACCTGGAAAAGGAAGTCACAGCAGTGAGCTCCTGGAATTGGAAATGCCCTGGGGGCATCATGGAAACTCACTACAACTGCCTATTTTGAAGTATTAGGTGCAAAGCGATTTCTTTTTTTAAATTTAGGGGTGGGATCTCCCTCTGCTGCCCAGGCTGGAGTGCAATGGCGTGATCATGGCACACTATAGCCTCGAACTCCTGAGCTCAAGTAATCATCCCACCTTAGCTTCCTGAGTAGCTGGGATTATAGGCACATGCCACTGCACCCAGCTCAAGGTAAAATTATGGGTAATCTTAGTGTGTCTTAGACATGGAAAGGCCTGGATCTCTCTTCTGTTAAGGATCTGTGGATGAGGAATTTGTTTTGCTCCTTTGGGGATGCTTCAGTTAAATTCAATAGGAGCAAATCGTGTATTCGTAGAGTCACTCAGAGCGTGCAGAGCACATGCATGAACACACACACATGAAAACATACACACACACAGCCAGAGTGATTTTCCGAGCTGCCTTTTCAAAGGAAACTGCATTTTAAAAGGTCGCATCCAGACTCAGCATCAATCAAAATGCCACACAGCAGCTGCACCAATTCAGCCCAGCACAATACCTGCCAGCCGAGTCCTGTCTTCTGTACAGAGCGTCTAATGGGAATTTCTGCCTGAATGGGAGCCCAGGGCAGAGGGCAGCAGAACGGTCAGCCTCGCCATGGAAAGAGCAGCCTGGGAGTACAGGCAGCAGCTCCATCTGCAGGGAGCTGCAGAGCCTGTGAAATAAGAAAAGCAGAAGGGAAGGGTGGGGATTGGTAATGCTAGCAGGCCCTGGTTGAGTTGTGTGGATTTTTTTCTTCTTCTTCAAGAATGAATTGCATCCTTTGTGTCCGTCTTCAAGGTGTCCTTAGGAGGCTGGTGCTGATGTCTGCAGCTCCATTGTAAAATACCCGCCAATACTACTATCCTGAATGGCCCTTTTCCTAGACCTGTGAGTCAGATTACCCACTCGGGAGGTTTTAAGGCCAGAGAAATAAAGGAAATCATGTGATTCTTTCAGTGATTTTATATATGCAGCACTTCCCTTTGCGGACAAGGGAGTGGCGAGTGAGAACATGACCCCGTAGGTTCTCTGGAGCAGAGCGGTGTCCTTAATTAGACAGTTCCCAGAAATTCCTCTATGACAGAGTGTGTGTGTGTTTAATTTTCATTTTTTGAGACAGAGTCTCACTCTGTTGCCCAGGCTGGAGTGCAGTGGTGCAATCTCGGCTCACTGCAAACTCTGCCTCCTGGGCTCAAACGATTCTCATGTCTTAGCCTCCTGAGTAGCTGGGATTACAGGCGTACACCATCATACCCAGCTAATTTTTGTATTTTTAGTAGAGTCGGGGTTTCGCCATGTTGGCCAGGCTGGTCTTCAACTCCTGACCTCAGGTGATCTGCCTGCCTCGGCCTCCCAAAGTGTTGGGATTACAGGTGTGAGCCACCGCGCCCAGCCCAGAGTGTGTTTAACTGCCTTTATTTTAAAGTTGACCAGATAACTGGGCGCTTAATTTTCAACCCTTTAGAAACACCCAGCTGTTAATCAACACATTGTCACTTAAATTAGGCTCTTTTTCTTTTTAAAGAAACATATTCAAGAGAGAAAATGATTTCCCCTAGACCCTTAATTTTCTTCGTTTCAGCAGCTACATTTGGAATTGTCAAACCATTGCTATGGGTGTTTGGGTCTAAACCACACGTGGATTTCACAGACAGTCTAACTGAAGAGCTACTGAGCAACTTTGGCTGCATCTTCTTGGGTAAGTTTCAGAACTGCCAGTTGAGCATGGCTAGTCCCATTTTACAGATGGGGAAAACAAGGCAATGAATTAATGGGGAAAAACAACTTACCAATTTACAAAGCTCATAAACGCAGAAGCCAGGATTTGACTCTGGCCTATCCTCCCCCACCGCCCCCCCCACCCCCATACCCCTTCCTTTTTGCCGGCTGCCTCCACTAAATTTGCAAGGTCCCTTGGCCACATGTAGCTTACTCTGTCTTAAATAAAATCCCTTCATGATCCCCAATAAAGCCTTGGGAAATGTGTGAATTTCCCCACACATGCTGGAAGTGTATGAATTTCCCTACACATGCTGGCCCAGCTCTCTAGCAACCCTACAACAGAGTGGTGTTTGTTGTTGAGAAAGAGGGATCTGCTTGGATGTTGGATACTGTGACCACGCAGAGCTGGCTGCGGGAGTTCCCATAAATCCACCCTCTTTAGCATTCTGAGGCCAGCAGGGGACGCTGACGAGCACCTTCTCCGTGTGCTTTGAGGAGGGCGGATTTCACACACAACATAAAGACCAGTCGGTGCAACCGTAGGAAAAACAAGGATTTCCTCCAACCCGGTTAACCACATCCCAACACCCAGCCAGAGCCCAGATTGGGCTCTCTGGATACCAGTGAGCAGCTGAGAGACCACATTCAGGGACCAGAGCGTAGGTGACGTGGTGTTCATGAGGACAGTTGTTCAGAGCGTGCATTGCAGTCAGACTCTCGCTTCATCTCCTCCTGGCTATGTAAAATTTATGCACATTATCCTGATATTTCTCAGCCCGACCTTCCTCCTCTGTACTAGGAGGACAGCGTGGAATAATAGAGTGCTCAGCACAGGGCCTGGAAATCAATGAGAACTAGGGAATATGCACTAGTGGAACTAGTGAACATCATTCTCAAAAACAGATATTTACAAATCCTAGACGGTGAAAGAAATGGGTAATAACCACGACCTCACAGTGTCTGTGGGCAACACTGAGCAACAGGTAGCTTAGAAAGCAGTTCTGGCCAGGCACGGTGGCTCATGCCTATCATCCCAGCACTTTAGGAGGCTAAGGCAGGAGGATTGCTTGAGGCCAGGAGTTTGAGACCAACCTGGGCAAACACAACGAGACCCCATCTCTACAACACAGCTTTTAAAAGTTAGCCAGGCTTGGTGGTGTGCACTTGTGGTCCCAGCTACCTGGGAGGCTGAGATGGGAGAATCTCTTAAACCCATGACTTTGAGATTCCAATGAGCTGTGATTGCACCACTGCACTCCAGCCTGGGTGACAAAGCAAGACCCCATCTCAAAAAGAAAAACAAAAAACAAAAAACCCCAGTTCTTACCACCTTCACCATTTCCTAAGCCCCATGTCACTGTCACAGTGACTAATGATCAACCTCAGGGAGCTATGTTCACCTGCAAATACACTAAGACCCCATTCTTACCTTTCTAAAGCCGTGGAAGTCACTGTGCAAGATGTAAATATACAGGTAAATTACAGTCTCCCTCTGATTGTAGACAGAGTCCCTTGGAAAAACCTTTCAAGTTAAGATGATAATGTAATAAATGTTTCAAATTAAGATGGGAATGACCTCCATATCATAATAGAGGGTTCTGGGAACTGACTGGATCTGAACCCTAGTCTAAGTACTTACCTATGTGACCTTGGGCAAGTTACTCTGTTCCTCAGTTTGTAATTTATTAAATGGATAATAAAAGTATGTATCTCATAGCTATAAAGGCTAGATGAGTTGATGTGCATAAACACCAAACACAGTGCCCAGTACCTAATAATGTCTGATATTATTTATTTAAGACACAGTTGCTGGGGCTATACCATTAATATATCCCAGGCATTAAAAGAAATTAGTATCTTAAAAACTGATTGTAATGTGATGTCATAAGTGATGCTTCTCACCTGGTATTGAAATTAGACAATAAAGATGATTATAAACAAAGTGTTACAAGTTCACATAGAAGGAAACAAATCTGTCTGAGCATCTGAGAGACATCCCATTGAAGTTGAAACTTCAGCTCTGTCTTAAAGATAAGTAGGAATTCCTTCACAAAGAAGGCGGTTATCTTAGGTGAATATTATTAGAGCAGAAATTGATTTGAATAGGCTCAAATAAAACTGCAAACTAAAATGGGAAGTATGAAGGAAATGCAGACAAACCCTCTCGGGATTGTAGGAGGGGCCCAGGAAGCTGGGAAACTGTATCTGCCTCTTGGTTCTTCTGTCTCCATCTCTTTGTTTGTTTGTTGTTGTTTTCTTTTTTTTTTTTGTCTCCAACTTTTTTTTTTTTTTTTTGAGATGGAGTCTCACTCTGTCACCCAGGCTGGAGTGCAGTGGCACCATCTCAGCTCACTACAACCTCCGCCTCCCAGGTTCAAGCAATTCTCTGCTTCAGCCTCCCAAGTAGCTGGGATTACAGGTGCCCACCACCACGCCTGGCTAATTTTTGTATTTTTAGTAGAGACGGAGTTTCATCATTTTGGCCAGGCTGGTCTTGAACTCCTGACCTTGTGATCCATCCGTCTCCACCTCCCAAAGTGCTGGGATTACAGGTGTGAGCCACCGTGCCCGGCCTTTGCTTCCAACTCTTAACAGCTTCACAAAGGGTCCTCACCTCCATTTGTCTTCAATCCACTGTGGTCCTATTTCGGCCCTGCCTCCCCACGTGGCATTGAAATCGTTCTCACTAATCTCCCTGGCATTTTCCTCTATGCCAACTCCAAGGAACACTTCTCAGCTGGTGTAGTGTAGCAAGCGAGGGCGGGAGACATGTGTCCGACTTGTTTAAAAGCAATGTCAGAGAATTATTACAGATGTAAGAAATGGGCTTATGAATGTAGCAAAATATTACACGTTCATCAATATTCTAATTTTAAAACTATCTTGCATTCCTGGAAAAATAATATATTTTTAAACTCATTGCTGGATTTTATTTGCTAATATTTAAATGTTCCATCATTTTCCATGTAAGATTGAAATGAACTGTTCTTTCAATGTTTGGTAGAATTTGACTGTAAAGCATCTGAATGTATAATTGATTTTTAGCTATAGATTTTATTTCTTAACTGATTATAGAATGATTAAGATATTCAATTTCTTTTTGAGTTACTTTTGATGAGATGTATTTTTTTTGGCATGTATCCATTTCATCTAAGGTTTCAAATGTATTAGCATGAAATTATTCATATCTTATTTTATTTTTGAGATGGAGTCTTGCTCTGTCACCCAGGCTGGAGTGCAGTGGTACGATTGCAGCTTACTGCAACCTCCACCTCCCAGGTTCAAGCAATTCTCCTGCCTCAGCCTCCTGAGTAGCTGGGACTACAGGTGCCCGCTACCATGCCCAGCTAATTTTTGTATTTTTAGTAGAGACGGGGTTTTGCCATGTTGGCCAGGCTGGCCTTGAACTTCTGACCTCAGGTGATCCACCTGCCTCGGCCTCCCAAAGTGCTGGGATTACAGACGTGAGCCACTGCGCCCAGCCTTCATATCATATTTTAAATCTCTGTTGCATTTATTGTCATAGCCTTCTTTTATTATTAATCTTATTTATTTGTGCTTTCTTCCTTGTTTCCTTGATAAATCTTGCCAGAGTTTGAGCTATTTTAATAGTATTTTAAGGAACCAATATTTAGCCTTATGATCTTTCTACTGTATGATTGTTATATATTTTTAAAATTTTTGCCACCTTTACTATTTCTTTTCTTTTTGTTTTACTCTACTTTTTTTAAACTTCTTAATTTAGATGTTTAGCTCATTTAATCTGAGCTTCTGTTCTATTCTTAGGTAAGCATTTAAGACAGTAAATGTCCTTCAAAGTTTTGTTTTTGCCACTCTAAAAATTTGTATATGTGTTACATTTGCTATGGCTCAGTCCTAAGTTTTAAAAATTTCCATTGTGGCAGCTTTCTTTGCCTCTGAGCTATGTAGAAGTGTGTTTTTTGATATCCTTTATGTGCTGGAGATTTTTCTTGGTGTCTTTTTTTGTCATGGATTTAATTGTATTGTTGCCAGATGTGATCTGTATGATTCCAGTCATTTGAAATTTGTTGAAGTTTGCTCTATGATCTAGCCTATGGCTAGTTTTTAAAAATATTACATGTGGTTGAAAATAATATATATTCTCTAATTTTTAGAGGCAATGTTCTTCATAAATTCATCAACTAACCCGATATATTAATATGCCCTTCAAATCTTCTATATCCTTAAAGATTTTTTTGGCCTGCTTGTTCTATCAATTACAAAGAGAAGTATAGCATAATTTCCACTATTGATGGTAGATTTGAAATTTTCTGCTCATTCCTCTGTTAATTATTGCTTTACATTTATATATACATATATATTTTAGAGACGGAGTCTCAGTATGTTGCTCAGACTGGTATTGAACTCCCGGGCTCAAGCAATCCTTCCACCTCAGCCTTCCAAAGTGCTGAGATTACAGGTGTGAGCCACCATGCTGGGCCTTCTAAAATATATAATTAAAACTAATTTCACCTGTGTCTTCTTTTAAAATGTGGTTACTAGAATCCTTCCTTCCTTCCTTTCCTTCCTTCCTTCCTTCCCTTCCTTCCTTCCTTCCTTCCTTCCTTCCTTCCTTCCTTCCTTCCTTCCTTCCTTCCTTCCTTCCCTCCTTTTCTCTCTCTCTCTCTCTCTTTCTCTTTCCTTCCTTCTTTGTTTTTTTTTTTTGACAGAGTCTCACTCTGTCGCCCAGGCGGGAATGCAGTGGTGCGATCTCAGCTCACTGCAGGCTCGACGCCCCTGGACTCAGGTGATCCTTCCACCTCAGCCTCCCAAATAACTGGAACTATAGGTGCATGCCACCATGCCCAGCTAATTTTTTTTTTTTTTGTATTTTTGGTAAGAGGCAGGGTTTTGCCATGTTGCCCAGGCTGGTCTCAAACTCCTGGTCTCAAGCGATCCACCTGTCTCAGCCTCCCAAAGTGCTAGGATTACAGGTGTGAGCCACCATACCCAGCCAGAAATCTTAAAATTACATATGCATCTTGCATTCGTTGTGTGTGTTTATATATAAATATATATATATCTATATATATAATCTAGCATTTTGTTTCTGTTGGACAGCACTGGTTTAGAGATTACATTGAATATTTTATTACAATATTTAACTTAAAGTGTAAAGTGAACAAAAATCTTTACTTCTTCCTGAACAGTAGAAATATCAGAATGATTTAATGAAGCTCAGGGTGGTCTCAAACTCCTAGCTCAAGCGATTCTCCCACCTTGGCCTCCCAAAGTTCTGGAATTACAGGGATGAGCTGCCACGTCTGTCAGATAAGCTATGATTTTAAAAAATTTGGTGGATGTGACAGGGTATCTCCATAGATGCAAAAAAATTGATAATATTAATATCATCCATTATTTTTAAAATAATTATTAGCAAGCTAGGAGTAAAAGAGACTTCCTTAGCTGATTTTTAAAAAGCATCTGCAAAACACTTACAGCAAACACAATACTTAAAGGTGAAATATTGAACTCATCTTGTTAAGATCAGGAAAAAAGTCACAGCACAATTGATTTCACTTCTTTGCCAGTGCAGTAAAACAAGGGGGAAAATACGGATTGGAAAGGGAGAAACAAAACTGTTATTACTTGAGCATGATATCATTGCCTATGTAGAAAACCCCAAAGAATCTACAGGTACATTATCAAAATTAATAAGAGATTTGGCCGGGCACGGTGCCTCATGCCTGTAATCCCAGCACTTTGGGAGGCCGAGGCGGGTGGATCACCTGAGGTTGGGAGCTCAAGACCAGCCTGACCAACATGGAGAAACCCCGTCTCTACTAAAAATACAAAATTAGCTGGGCGTGGTGACACATGCCTGTAATCCCAGCTACATGGGAGGCTGAGGCAGGAGAATCGCTTGAACCTGGGAGGCAGAGGTTGCAGTGAGCCAACATGGCGCCATTGCACTCCAGCCTGGGCAACAAGACCGAAACTCCATCTCAAAAAAAAAAAAAAAAAAAAAAAAGAGAGATTTTAGTTCAGGTGCAGTGGCTCATTCCTATAATTCCAGCACTTTGGGAGGCTGAGGCAAGAGGATCATCTGAGGCCAGGAGTTTGAAACCAGCCTGGGCAATATAGTGAGAACTCAGCTCTACAAAACAACAAAAATTAGCTGGATATGGTGGCACACACATGTAGTTCTAGCTACTCGGGAGGCTGATGAGGAAGGAGATCCCTTGAGCCCAGGACCTCAAGGTTACAGTGAGCTACAATCCACCCTGGGAGACAGTGTGAGACCCCCATTGCAAAACAAAAACCCAGAAACTATATGGCTAAATACAAAATCAATATTTTGACTGCATTTCAATTGCATTTCTACATACCTACTTTAATCAGTTATAAAAGGTAATTTTAAAAAAGATTTGTACTAGCAACAGAAAGGTAAAATGCCTAGGAACAAATCTAATATTCAAGTCCCCTTTATGGAGACAAAGGATAAAACTTTAACGAAAATCATGAAAGATCACCTAAGCAAATGAAAAATATGCCATATTCCTAAATAGGTAGGCTCAATATCTTAAAATGTAATTTCTCTTCCAATCTGTATTTTAATGCAATTCCAATGAAAATTCCCACACAGTTGTTTTCTTTGCTGCTGTTGCTTTTTCTCCATCTTCTTTTTTTGCCATTTTTTCCTCCTCGTCCTCTTCCTCCTTCTTCTTTTTAAATAAAATCTAAAAGCCTTTTCCTGAAATTTATAAGGATGAAAAAAGGGTCAAGAATAGTCATGACACTCCTTAAAAGAACAAGGTAGAGAGACCTGCCTATGAAATATAATAAGTAAGCTATAATTTTCCAAGCTATAATAAAGACAGTGTAGTACTGGCACAAGATATACCCACTGAACAATAAACACAATGGAGGACCTAGGAATAGGCCCATGTATATGTATATTTCATTTAGGACAAATGTAGCATTTCAGATGAGTGGGGGAAATGATGAAATCAAATCCCTGCATTACATTGTATACAAATATCAATTCCAGATAAAGTCTAAAATGTGAAAGACAACACTATAAAATTTCTACAAGACAATATTTAAAACAAAAGGATGTTTTAAATGAGACACAAAGAATATAAATCATAAGGGGAAGATCAACACACTTTATATTAAAAGTAAGAACTTCTGTTCATCAAGACACATCATAAAGAGAGTGAAAACATAAGCCACAAACTGGTAGAACACATTCACAACACAAATTGACAAAGGGTTACTGATTAGAATCTATCAAGAACTTGAAAACAGAGCCAAAGCTTCATCTTCAGAATTGAGGAGGATGGATCGTTGGCTTTAAACAGAGAGATGAGAAGATTTGCTTTTTCAACCCATAGCTGCGACTTCTATGTTTAAAGATACTGAAATGGACATATCAACAAGTGTAAAGGAGGACTCTACGCCAAAGAAACTGGATAAAACTGCAAATAAGAACTGAATAAAAGAAAAATGAAATCATAATGAAAGCTATCTTCTCAGCTCTATAGACGTTCATTATGTACCTTATTGTGTCTTATGCAACAGGACATTTTCATATAGTATTATGGTACCAGTAAATTGTGGCATTCTTTCAAGATTGTTTAGAGTTGAAAGAAAAAGGAATTGAATATTTTATGCATACATACTATGAGCTTACTTATTTATTTATTTATTTTGAGATGGAGTTTCGCTCTTGTTGCCCAGGCTGGAGTGCAATGGCATGATCTCGGCTCACCACAACCTTTGTCTCCTGGGTTCAAGAGGTTCTTCTGCCTCAGCCTCCCGAGTAACTGGTGTGTGCCACCACACCCAGCTAATTTTTTGTACTTTTAGTAGAGACGGGGTTTATCCATGTTGGTCAGGCTGGTGTTGAACTCCCGACCTCAGGTGATCTGCCCACCTTGGCCTCCCAAAGTGCTGGGATTACAGATCCTATGAGCTCTTTAAAAACCAAAATTTCTTCCAGCTTTTCAAACTAGAAATGAGAAAGTCACTGAAGCTTCTATCTAACAGTGAGCTGCCACATTGCTTTGGCTGGAGAAGCCCACACAATAGCTGAGAGACTAAGAAAGTCTTGAACAGCTGACATTCCTGAATGCCCACTGGATGAAAAGTCAGTAAAATTCGAGGCAGTGCCACTTCAAATGTTGCCGGGACTCACTAAATTAAAGATTTAGCTGCACACATGAAGACCAAGTTAATAGCTTATTTTCAGAAATTTACTTTCGCCTTACAATTGAGCAAATCTATAGACATGGCTTGACTTGCTGTATCAGCACCAACTATTCTTTAAAGAGTAACTTATTTTATATGAATTCTCAGCAACAGATACAGATGGTGATAAATATTCAAAGGATTGAATAACTTTCTGAATCTTATGATTTATCTTGGAACAACTTTATTTCCATTTGCACCCTTGGCGCAGAAGCAGTGATGGATAAAACTTCTGGACATAGATCAAGGCAGTGGCACTAAACTCTACCACTGGTCGTTGTCATAGTCTTCTTTCCCACCACACGCTTGTGGTTGAAAATAAAAGCCACTCTTACTTAAGAATGTCCTGGATGAAGTACTAAAGACTATTAATTAATTAATTAATTTTTTTTGAGAGACAGAGTCTTGCTCTGCCACCCAGGCTGGAGTGCAATGGCGCGATCTTGGCTCACTGCAACCTCTGCCTCCGGGGTTCAAGCGACTCTCCTGCCTCAACTTCCCAAGTAGCTGGGACTACAGGCATGTGCCACCATGCCCGGCTAATTTTTGTGTTTTTTTAGTAGAGACAGGGTTTCACTATATGTTGGCCAGGCTGGTCTCGAACTCCTAACCTCAGGTGATCCTCCCACTTTGGCATCACAAAATGCTGGCATTACAGGCATGTGCCACCACGCCCAGCTAATTTTTGTATTTTTTTAGTAGAGACGGGGTTTCACTATATGTTGGCCAGGCTGGTCTCAAACTCCTGACCTCAGGTGATCCGCCCACCTCCGCCACCCAAAGTGTTCAGATTACAGGCGTGAGCCACTGCGCCTGGCCCAAGACTATTAGTTTTTATTGTGTCAACCCTTTAATAAAGATCTCTTTAATATTCCAAGTGGTGAAATGCAAAGTATCCATGAAGTATTGCTGCTGTATGCCGAACTTGCAGAAAGCACATGTGACGGAGCTGAACCAGCTTCAAGGATCATCAGTTTTGCTTAAAAGAACAACTGAAAGACAGACTAGAGTTGTTCATATGGACATTTTCATGAAAATGAATAAAATGAGCCTGTCGATGTTGCAATTGATAAAATTCAAGTTTTCAAGTGGAAATTAGAATTTTGGAAAACTTTTATCTGCTAAAAGTTTTCCAGTGAGATTGGTAGTAAAATTAATGAATGTGGTTTTTTGATATTGTGTGAAATGTTGTTATTTGGAAATTCTGCACAATTCAGTGAAGAAATATTTTCCAGATTGCTAGTGGGTAAAAGAGCCATTCAAAATGCAGTCTGAGGCCAGGTGTGGTGGCTCACACCTGTAATGCCAACACTTTGGGAAGCTGAGGCTGGAGGATTGCTTGAGGTTAGGAGTTCAAGATCAGCCTGTGCAACATGGCAAGAACTCATCTCTGCTAAAATTTTTAAAAATTAGCTGGGCATGGTGGTGCGCACCTGTAGTCCGAGCTACTCAGGAGGCTGAGGCAGGAGGATCACTCCAGCCCAATAGGTCAAGGCTGCAGTAAGACATGATTGCACCACTGTACTACAGCATGGGCAACAGAGTGAGACCTTGTCTTAAAAAACTAACAAACAACAAACAAACAACAACAACAACAAAAACAAAAACAAAGTGCAGGATGACCGATAGATTTTAATGTAAAAATATATAAAAGGTCCAGGCGTGGTGGCTCATGCCTGTAATCCCAGCACTTTGGGAGACTGAGGCGGGCGGATCACGAGGTCAGAAGTTCGAGACCAGTCTGGCCAACATAGTGAAACGCTGTCTCTACTACAAATATAAAAAATTAGCCAAGTGTGGTGGTGTGCACCTGTAATCCCAGCTACTTGGGAGGCTGAGGCAGGAGAATCACTTGAACTTGGGAGACAGAGGTTGCAGTGAGCTGAGATCACGCCATTGTACTCCAGCCCAGGTGACAGTGCGAGACTCTGTCTCAAACAAACAAGCAAACAAACAAGTATATAAAAGTTTCATTGATAAAATCTCAGATTCCACATTGCAACTAGCCTTTAAAAACTACCTCTTGTTGAGTTTTGATGTAGAATCAAAGAAGAAAATCCTCAGTATCTGAAAGGCTATTGAACTCCATTTTCTAACTACATGTCTGTGCAAAGTAAGATTTTCTTTATATACTTCCACCAAAACAACTTATCAAAACACATTAAATGCAGAAGCAGATATGACAGAGAAGTCAGCTGTTTTCCACTAAGCCAGACATTAAAGAGATGGGCAAGAACATAATGCAGTATAGTTCTTGTCATATTTCATTTTGTTTATTTGTTTATTTGTGGCCAGGCACAGTGGCTCATGCCTGTAATCTCGGCACTTTGTGAGGCCGAGGCGGGTGGATCATCTGAGGTCAGGAGTTTGAGACCAGCCTGGCCAATGTGGTGAAACCCCATCTCTACTAAAAATACAAAAATTAGCCAGGCATGATGGCAGGCACCTGTAGTCCTAGCTCTCAGGAGGCTGAGACAGGAGAATCACTTGATCCCGGGAGGTGGAGGTTGCAGTGAGCTGAGATCATGCCACTGCACCCCAGCCTGGGAGACAGAGTAAGACTCCGTCTCCAAAAACCAAAAATTTATTTGTATAAACATGTAATAGGTTTATTATCTTGAATGAATTAACAAATATTTTTAAAAATAATCTGTCAAAGGAATAGCATCAACATCAACAAAAAGAACATCCACACCAAAACCCCATCTGTAGGTCACCAACATCAAAGACCAAAGGTAGATAAAACCACAAAGATGGGGAGAAACAGAGTAGAAAGGCTGCAAATTCCAAAAACCAGAACGCCTCTTCTCCTCCGAGGGATTGCAGGTCCTCGCCAGCAAGGGAACCAAACTGGACAGAGAATGAGTTTGACAAGTTGACAGAAGTAGGCTTCAGAAGGTCAGTAATAACAAGCTTCTTCGAGCTAAAGAAGCATCTTGTAACCCATCGCAAGGAAGCTAAAAACCTTGAAAAAAGGTTAGACAAATGGCTAACTAGAATAAACAGTGTAGAGAAGAGCTTAAAAGACCTGATGGAGCTGAAAACCACAGTACGAGGACTTTGTGAAGCATACACAAGCTTCAATAGTCAATTCGATCAGATGGAAGAAAGGATATCAGTGTCTGAAGATCAAATTAATGAAATAAAGCGAGAAGACAAGATTAGAGAAAAAAGAGTGAAAAGAAATGAACGAAGCCTCCAAGAAATATGGGACTATGTGAAAAGACAAAATCTACGTTTGACTGGTGTACCTGAAAGTGACGGGGAGAATGGAACCAAGTTAGAAAACACTCTTCAGGATATTATCCAGGAGAACTTCCCCAACCTAGCAAGGCGGGCCAACATTCAAATTCAGGAAATACAGAGAACATCACAAAGATACTCCTCGAGAAGAGCAACCCCAAGACACATAATTGTCAGATTCACCAAGGTTGAAATCAAGGAAAAAATGTTAAGGGCAGCCAGAGAGAAACGTCGGGTTACCCACAAAGGGAAGCCCATCAGACTAACAGCCAATCTCTCTGCAGAAACCCTACAAGCCAGAAGAGAGTGGGGGCCAATATTCAACATACCTAAAGAAAAGAATTTTCAACCCAGAATTTCATATCCAGCCAAACTAAGCTTCATAAGTGAAGGAGAAATAAAATCCTTTACAGACAAGCAAGTGCTGAGAGATTTTGTCACCACCAGGCCTGCTTTACAAGAGTTCCTGAAGGAAGCACTGAACATGGATAGGAACAACTGGTACCAGTCACTGCAAAAACATGCCAAATGGTAAAGACCATCGACACTATGAAGAAACTGCGTCAATTAACTGGCAAAATAACCAGCTAGCATCATAATGGCAGGATCAAATTCACACATAACTATATTAACCTTAAATGTAAATGGGCTAAATGCCCCAATTAAAAGATACAGACTGGCAAATTGGAGTCAAGACCCATCGGTGTGCTGTATTCAGGAGACCCATCTCACATGCAAAGACACACATACGCTCAAAGTAAAGGGATGGAGGAAGATCTACCAGGCAAATGGAAAGCAAAAAAAAAAAAGCAGGGGTTGCAATCCTCGTCTCTGATAAAACAGACTTTAAACCAACAAAGATCAAAAGAGACAAAGAAGGCCATTACATAATGGTAAAGGGATCAATTCAACAGGAAGAGCTAACTATCCTAAATATATATGCACCCAATACAGGAGCACCCAGATTCATAAAGCAAGTCCTTAGAGACCTACAAAGAGACTTAGACTCCCACACAATAATAATGGGAGTCTTTAACACCCCACTGTCAATATTAGACAGATCAATGAGACAGAAAGTTAACAAGGTTATCCATGACTTGAACTCAGCTCTGCACCAAGCAGACCTAATAGACATCTACAGAACTCTCCACCCCAAATCAACAGAATATACATTCTTCTCAGCACCACATCACACTTATTCCAAAATTGACCACATAGTTGGAAGTAAAACACTCCTCAGCAAATATAAAAGAACAGAAATCACAACAAACTGTCTCTCAGACCACAGTGCAGTCAAATTAGAACTCAGGATTAAGAATCTCACTCAAAACCACACAACTACATGGAAACTGAACAACCTGCTCCTGAATGACTACTGGGTAAATAACGAAATGAAGGCAGAAATAAAGATACTCTTTGAAACCAATGAGAACAAAGACACACTGTACCAGAATCTCTGGGACACATTTAAAGCAGTGTGTAGAGGGAAATTTATAGCACTAAATGCCCACAAGAGAAAGCAGGAGAGATCTAAAATCGACACCTTAACAACACAATTAAAAGAACTAGAGTGGCAAATCTAATCACACCACTGCCCTGGTTAGAACCCTCAGTGACTTCCCAGTTAATTCTATAACCCGGTTACAGTGTGGAGACTGAAATGAAATTGGAGTAAGAGTAAATGTGAATAAATCAGGTCTCAGAGAGTCGGAGTGATCCAGGCCCTGTTGGCTAGAGGCTGGGACTAAGGTAGTGACGGTAGGTGGAGACAAAGGAAGATTTAATCGAACCAGCAGGGTTTGGGGACAGACACAGGGAGTGAGAATGCTGAAATATTTTTTTAAAAAGAAAAATAAAGATAACTCCTTGGTTCCAGGGCTGCACACCTCCACTGATAATGCTGCTATTTACTGAGTTAAGAACAATAGAGGAGGATTGGGTTTGGGACCTGAGGTGCCTTTATACACCCAGGTAGCGATATCTAGTAGCCAGTGGGGTTAATGAATCTGGAGCTCAGAAGACATGTGTGAGTGGAAGACAGAGGCTACGGAGCATTCTATGTGACAGTAACTGAAGCTGTGGGCATGGTGAGAAAGACCAGTGAGCGAGAACAGAGTAGAAGGAGGCTCAGGACCAAGACTTAAGGAACTCCAAAATTTCATGCTGAATATAGAACACTGAGGCAAGAAGGTGAAGGTGTAATCACAGAAATAGGAGAAAATCCTTAGAGTAGGATGTCTGTTTCCACTCCAGGAGAAGGACATATTTAAAGAAGGAGGAGGAGGTCGGGCCAGGTGCAGTGGCTCACGCCTATAATCCCGGCACTTTGGAGGACGGAGGAGGGTGGATCACCTGAGGTCAGGAGTTTGAGACCAGCCTGACCAACATGCAGAAGCCCCATCTCTACTAAAAACAGAAAATCAGCTGTGCGTGGTGGTGCGTGCCTGTAGTCCCAGCTACTTGGGAGGCTGAGGCAGGAGAATTGCTTGAACCCGGGAGGCAGAGGTTGCGGTGAGCCAATATCGCACCATTGCACTCCAGCCTGGGCCACAAGAGCGAAACTCCATCTCAAAAAAAAAAAAAAAAAAAAAAAAAAAGAAGGAGGAGGTCATTGCTGAAGGTCAACCAAGATAAGCACTAAATATCCCTTTTGGGGGTGGCGTAATGGAGTTCATTGGCAGCCTTAGGACACCCCATGTTATAATGTGATGGGCTAGAGGCCAGGTTGGAATGAGGGAGGACCCTGTGAGAAGTGAGATATAGGAACATCGTGTGTACGCAGAGCTTCTAAGACATGTGACTGGAAAGAGAAGAGAAAATAGAGAATAGGGCAGTAGCTGGAAGGGAAAGTGAAGTGGAAGAAAGATGTAGTTTTTAGATGGGAAAAGTTTGAGGACGTTTCAGGACAATGGAAGGGATCCAAAAGAAAGGAGAAACATAAGACACATGAGAGATAAGATTAAAGTTATATTGTAAGTTTTTCCAGAGAGTGGGGAAAGAGGGACCCAGGGACCCCAGCTACAGAATGTCCTTCTAGGATAAAAGAAGCTTGCAGGGACTCACCTATCGTGTTTCTTGGAATCTGTCAAAATGTAGATTGGGTAAAAATGGTATTAGTTCAGGACTGACACTAAATTCATAGAGTTTGACTTTATATTCAGTCCCACTTCAGGGAGTCAAACATAGAAAATGGTAAAATTAATCATAGTACACGTATAACTAAATGTAACAGCCATTGAAAAAGATGTTCTAAAGAATATAATGTTAAGTCCAGATAAAAACCAAATATACAGTATAATCCTTACTTTATATTAAAAATATAAGTTTTTATAAATACTGTATGTGTACATTGTGTGCATATATATGTGTGTGTATCACGCATGCTCACAAATTCATGGTTCTAGTACTCCACTAGCTTCTACAGCCTCCTGATGCGGCCCGTTGTCAATCAAAGTCAATGCTCTTCATTCCTCCTTATCCTCCTGCCTTGCTGGGATGCACACAAAAGAATTCGTTCACACTAAGGTGGGGAGAATTAATGCAAATGACAATGGCATTTATCGATTCCAGTTAATCCTCCTACAGCCATATACTGTTCATTTCTACATATACAAGTGATGAAATCCTAAATTGAATCCAATAGGGAAGACTCAGGGTCCCTACACCTTCGGTTTCCTTGGTGGTGTCTCCCTCAGCCAAGATCCACTCCTCTCCTGCCCATCTCATGGCTCAGCCTCCATGGGGGCCTGGATCTCAGCCACAGAGATTCCGACCTGGTGGGGGATCTTCTCAGGGTGAGGCCTAGACATCAGGGGTTTAAGGCTTCTAAGGGGGCTCTGGAGTGCAGCCAAGATTGAGAGCACTGCTTTGGTCTTCCAGGTAAGTTGCAGTCACATAAACACACAGATGTGACTTCTCCAGGAGTTTATGATACGGTGCCAATGACAATGGTGCACCGTCCCCCTGCAATTCCCACATTCCTCCCGACCTTGACTTGCCACTACTCTGAAGCCCTAAACTCCACCATTGTCCTCTGTGTTCATTTGCTAGGGCTGCCATAACAAAGTTTCACATGCTAGGTAGCTTCAACAACAGAAATTTATACTCACAGTTCCAGAGGCTGGAAGTCCAAGAACAAGGCGTCAGCAGGGGTGGTTTCTCCTGAGGCCTCTCTGCTTGGCTTGCAGATGGCTGCCTTCTCCCCGTATCCTCATGGTCTTCCCTCCATGTGTTTCTGTGTCATCTCCTCTTCTTGTAAGGACAGCAGTCATATTAGATTAGGACCCACCCTGATGACCTCCTTTTTCCTTAATTACCTCTTCAAAGACCCTATCTCCAAATACAGTGGCATGCTGAGGTACTAGAGGTTAGGACTTCAACATGTGGATTTAGGAGGGTCACAGTTCAGCCCATAGCACTACACTACACCACGTGGTGCTATGTGTTCACATCTTGTCTCCCTCACTAAGCTAGACTGTGGAGTCCTCAAGGGCAGAAGCACATTAGCTCTTCTTCATATCTCCATTATCCAGCAGGGTAGTGCAGCCTCACACTATCCGAGTGGATAATTGGGAAGCACTGTGGAAGTGCCTGCCTGCTGGAGAAGGAGGCATGGTTTGCATGGGGGGTTTCTGTTGGTCTCTGGAGACCTCGCTAATGAGAGAAGGAACTGGCTTTAGTAGCTCCTGTGGCATTGCTTTACCCTTGAGTTTGCTGAAGTTTTAGAGGGATGTTAGAAAAGCAAACATTCAGAGAGAGTCTGAGTTTTAAAAATCCTGTTTATTTACAGTGATTCGCATAAAATAGTCTTTTAAAAGGGACAGCTGTTTCCTCTTCTTCAAAATGTTTATTGGGGACATAATGAATCACAGAAATGGACTCTGATCGTATCATCCCGAAAGGATGATGTATAACATCTGATGAGAAGAAGGCTTTTTGTCATTGATTAGGGGGCAGGATAAAGTCCCAAGGCATTTCCTTCCACTCAAATTGCACTTCTACCCTTTGGAGAATTGTAAACCATTCTGAGGTCCCAGGATAGCAAGAGGCCCTGCAATGGGATACAGGTTTCTCAGGTTATATCCCAGTTTTGACTCTTGTTTGGCTTTTCATTTCAGATCATTGAATGCCAAAGCTGGAAACCCAGATTCCTCATTGCTAAGGAATCAGGGGGTCCCAGGGTGGGTGAGTGTTTGCAAACAGGGCGATCATCTGGGATCCCGATTCTCAGTCTGAGATTCTTTTTACTGTCTTCTAGTTCCCCCACCACACAGTCCTCAGTCATTGCATTAAAACCTTTCTGGAACAGCTTGGAAGTTGTGTAAGTAAAAATTCAGGCATCTAATAGACAGACATGGTAGTTAAGATATTCCTAGCCTGTTGAGGATTAGTCCTCTGGGTAAGGCCAACCTGAGTTACATGAGTGAGGGAAGTGTCCTTCGGACGACGGAAAACTGGCAACGCTGAGTTACGTTATTTAAAGAGAAAGTACAAGCATCTGTGGCCTTGCCTTCATCTGATAACATCTTTGTCCTGAAATCATTTTTAGGAGCAGCTACAGTTAATCTACCTATCACGGAACATAAGACACACCTAAATGTCTGGCTCATTTCCAGGTTCAGAAAAGCTTTAAGGAAGCTTAAGGAAGATCTCTCCTGGCTTCGCCTGGAAAAAATACAATTAAACCTCCTTAGCCTTACTCTCTCTCGAGTGGGTTTACAGGCAGATGAACTTGAACGACCCTGAGGAGCACTTTTCTGATGTCTCAGCCCTGAAGGCGTCAAATCCTAACCTGGGTTGAGAGAATCGCGTGTGGAACAGCATTGAGATTCCATGCTGTGTTCTTCAAAGGTTCTGCGGGCACTGCCTGTGTACTGACACTGTGTACAGACACTGTGCTCCGACACTGTGCTGGGTGTGCTGGTGAATGGCAGGTGCAGGTGCTGTTTTCCCAGACCTCAGAGACCAGGGCACAGGTGAGTATGGCCCCCTCCACAACCCAAACAGTCTGTGTAGGCCTGGGCTGCCTCTTGGTCATATTTACCCAGCACAGCTCAAAATAACCCAGTGCCAAAGCATTTGCTTGTGAGAGATGATAGTCCCCTATTGAAAAATCACTCAGGGCCCTGTCTTAGTCCATTCAGGCTGCTATAACAGAATAGCATTGACTGGGTGGCTTATAAACAACAAGAATTTATTTCTCACTGTTCTGGAGGCTGAGAATTCCAAGATCGAGATGCCAGCAGACTCAGTGTCTGGTGGGGGCCTGTTCCTGATGGATGGTCCCCTCTTGCTATGTCCTCACGTGGTAGAAGTTGAGAGAGAGCTCTCCAAGTTCTCTTAATAAAGGCACTGGCCAGGCGCGGTGGCTCACACCTGTAATCCCAGCACTTTGGGAGGCCGAGGTGGGCAGATCACGAGGTCAGGAGTTCGAGACCAGCCTGGCCAATATGGTGAAACCCCATCTCTACTAAAAATACAAAAAATTAGCCAGGTGTGGTGGCGGGTGCCTGTAATTCCAGCTACTCTGGAGGCTGAGACAGGAGAATCACTTGAACCTGGGAGGCGGAAGATGCAGTGAGCTGAGATCGCACCATTGCATTCCAGCCTGGACAACAAGAGTGAAACTCCATCTCAAAAAAGTAAATAAATAAAAATAAATAAAGACGCTGATCCCATTCCTGAAGGCTCCACCCTTATGATCTAGGCACCTCCCAAATGCCCCACCTCCTAATATCATCACCTTGGGGGTTAGCATTTCAGCATATGAATTTGGAGGGATGTAAACATTTGGACTATAGCTGGTCTAGACTGTGATTTTTCTGGCCCACAGTTCAGAATGAATGATCTCTGACCTATCTGCCAAAGAGCAAGGCTGCTCAACACGCTCTCCAACTTCCTACAAAGCTTTAGTCATCACTATTGTTAACTGAAAAATGCACAAATCTGTATGTTTGGAAAGGAGACTTTATTTCTTATAAAGCGTTACAGCCTGCAAGGTGGCCATCCTGCAAAGACCAGAGATAGGCACTTTGAAGGAGGAGGGCTTGGACAGGAATGTAAGCTGAATAGGGTTGGCCAAACATACCTATTCAACATGTTATAAGAGGAGCTATGAATATTCATGAAGGTGGTCCTGAGGCATGTGTATTGAACAAACATGCATGTTACATGGAACCCATGTTCACCTTAGGGTGGAGTCTTAACATTGAAATGTGTTACAATGAGGCCCTATATGTCAAAAGGTCTTTTCAGGACAGGAAGGCACTGAAGTGTGCAGCCTCTAAAAACTGGCCAGGACCAGTGTGTGGTCAGGGGTCTTCTTATCTGGAGAAAATCGTTGAAATCAGTCTCTTGTCCAATGAAAGCTGTAGTTATGGCTGGTGGAACAGGGGTTCCGTTCCACCAGTCCGCTCATCACAGCATCTATGAGCTGGATTAGCTACCAATTGTTTATTTCGAGACCAGTGCTTGTTTGGCTGCTATAGAAAAAGAAAAGCCTTGTGGCAGTTAGAACACAGTTGATTCATTAAGTGTAGGGATTCATTAAGTGTAGGGATGCAGGCCCTTGCCTGGCCTGGCCTTCTGTCCTGTTGATAATTTGTTATCTTATTATCACAGAGAGTCAGTTTTGTCATGTCTACTTTAACATGAATGCTGGTCAGTTGCTGTGTCTAAACCCTAAAAGGGAGGAGGTATAATGAGGCGTGTCTGACCTCTTGTCTCATCATGGCTGGAAACTCAGTTTTTAAGGTTTTTTTCTGGGGTCTCCTTGGCCCAGAGGGAATCCATTCAGTCAGTGGAGGACTTAGGATTTTATTTTTTGTTTACGCTACCATTGGGGTTTCTAAACAAACCTGAATGGACCATCAAGAGTGCCCGGGGGAGTCTACGAATTGGGGGCACCTAGAATGGATTCGCAGGACAATTCCTCCCATTCCCAGAAGGATCCAGAAACACCATCCTCCCATTTCCTGCCCAATGATTGGACTTCTGTACAGAAATTCAACGACTCTTGTAAAGCTTGATTTATGAGTCCAGGGAAAGGAGGTTAGAATGCAACAAAGAGAGTACTGGTAATGCTGGGTCTTCATCATTTCATTAAAGTGATTATAATTTTATTAAAATTATTATTTCATTAAAATGAGACAGATTCTGCTGGGAGCCTTACAAGCTTGGCTCCCCAGTCTCTTGCTTGTCTCTAGGACAGGATGTGACCTGGAAGCAGTCCATCCCATCGCAGGCTTACAGTGCACACACTTAATACACACTCTTGTTGCCCTCTGGCATTCTTGTGACAGCTGGCTCAGTCTCAACAGCGTTTGGGTCCTTCTTGCCCTCTGTGGGGTGTTGGTATACCTTCAGGGCAGCCAGAGGCACACTTTTGCCTTTTGTACTGATTAAAACACCTTTCCAGAAATGGTAACAGTGAGAAAATTATAGCAGTGGAAGAGATCTGACGTAACTAACTCCATCTTGCCTTTAACCTCCAAACTGCCATTGGTCATTGTTGGGCATGGGCTGAACTAACTTGGGAGAAATTTAGTTTAGAGTATAAATGATAACCCTCCTTAAAACTAAACTGCCTTTATAAAGTAAATAAAAGGTCATAAGTTTAAGAGGATGAGGGGGGCCTGAATTCTGCTAAGATGCCGGCATATACAGTTACCAGCCATTATTCCAGAGGTCACAAGATTTGCAATTTCCCCAATTACTCCTGTAATTAATATCACTATTGTAGAATCTAAGATTGACCTTTTAAGATGTCTCTTCAGACTTTTGCATTTCTGACGACCAGATGACTCCACTCGGACTAGCAGCTCCTCTGTGGCCCTCCACCCAGAAGCAGACTCAGCGCATGAGGACCGTTTTCCACACCCCTGTGATTGCATCCCCAACCGATCAGCCGCACCCATTTCCTGCCCACCAAACTATCCTTGAAAAACCCTAGCCTCTGAAGTTTCCAAGTGGCTGATTTGAGTCATAATAAAACTCTGGTCTCCCATTTAGCCAGCTCTATGTGAATTAAACTCTTTCTCTGTTGCAATTCCCCCATCTTGATAAATCAGCTCTATTATCTGGGCAATGGATAGGATGAACCCACTGGGTAGTTACAGTGACACTTTTTTTTTTTTTTTAAGATGGAGTTTCACTCTCGTCGCCCAGATTGGAGTGCAATGGGCACGGTCTCGGCTTACTGCAACCTCCACCTCCTGGGTTCAAGTGATTCTCCTGTCTCAGCCTCCTGAGTAGCTGGGATTACAGGCACCCGACACCAGGCCTGGCTAATTTTTGTATTTTTAGTAGAGATGGGGTTTCACCATGTTGGTCAGGCTGGTCTCGAACTCCTGACCTCAGGTGATTCACCCACCTTTGCCTCCCAAAGTGGTGGGATTACAGGCTTGAGCCACTGCGCTCGGCCTACAGTGACACTTTCTGCAGTAAGCAGCGACTTAACATATTTTCCTTCTCCACTGTCTGTTTCATCTCCCCTCACCATCTTCTCTGTGCTGCCAACCTGTTCCCATTTTCCTGTCCTGCATTAGCAAGGATTCACAAGTGTTGACACATGGCATGGGGTGGAATTAGGATGCCGTCTGTGTAGACAGAGTAGGAATGGCAGAAGTCACCAGTTCTTTGCATCCAGCACCAGTGGTTCCCTGAGGTAAGGCCGAGAAGAGCTGAGAGAGAACTGAGTTGCCTGTCTGATGGATCCCATGCTCCTAACCCACTGGGAAAGCAGCACATTTGGCAGCTGTCTTGGCACATCTGGAGGGGGATGGAGGAGTGAACAGGTGGCTGATTTGTGACTGCTTTTTTCTACTCATGGTAATTTCCAGGATGTTTGTAATGGGCATTTGTTGGTTTTGACACCCAGCTTCTCGCCCCTGCGAGGCATGTGCACATTTGCTGTTTCCTGGCAGCCCCTCTGGTATGTGCTGTCTCAGTAAGAATCTAGAGGCAGGTGCCCTTCTCCCGCCACGGAGGCTGACAGCCCAGCAGGCTGCCTGGTGGGCCCTCCTCTCCCCTCCACAGCATAGACTCCTGAGAGGGGTGATGTGCTGATGGAGACAGTCTGAGTTCTTCACGTCCAGCAGCAGAGAGAGACGAGCAAGCCCTCCTGCCAAGACCTTCGAGGATGCTTGATTCCACACCTGCTTCCTCAGCCTCTCCTGTGATCTCATCAGATCTGCTGTTGTATTTTAAGAGATATATTTGGTCTTTGTTCACAGTTCCTGGCACAGAACGCCAAAAACTCTTGGAATTTCCTGAGTGATAAGAATGCCTTTTGTTATTCATAAGGAGCTCCCCTTTTTAATTGATAATAATTGTACATATTTATGGGGTACAGGAGATATTTTCATACATGTATAGAATGTGTAATGATCAAAGCGGGGTAATTAGCATATCCATCCCCTCAAATGTTTATCATTTATTTGTGTTGGGAACATTCCCAATGTTCTCTTCCAGCTACCTGAAGTATTTAATAAATTATTGTTAGCTATAGTCATGCTACAGTATGCTATTGAACACTAGAAGTATTCCTTCTATCAAACTGTGATTTTGTATCCATTAACCACCAACGTCTCTTCATCCCCCTTCCACCTACCCTTCCCAGCCTCTGGTAACCATCATTCTACTCTCCACCTACATTGGATCAACTTTTTCAGGTCCCACATATGAGTGAGAACTTGCAATATTTGTCTTTCTGTGTCTAGCTCATTTCACTTAACATAATGACATCCAGTTTCTTCCATGTTGCTGCAGATGACAGAGTTTCATTCTTTTTTTTTTTTTTGAGAGAGAGTCTCGCTCTGTCACCCAGGCTGGAGTGCAGTGGCATGACCTTGGCTCACTGCAAGCTCTACCTTCTAGGTTCATGCCATTCTCCTGCCTCAGTCTCCCGAGTAGCTGGGACTACAGGTGCCCACCACCACACCTGGCTAATTTTTTGTATTTTGTTTAGTAGAGATGGGGTTTCACTGCGTTAGCCAGGATTGTCTTGATCTCCTGATCTCGTGATCTGCCCGCCTCGGCCTCCCAAAGTGCTGGGATTACAGGCATGAGCCACCGCACCTGGCTGACAGACTTTCATTCTTTTTTATTGCTAAATAATATTCCATTGTGTATATACACCGCATTTTCATTACCCATTCATCCACCGATGGACACTGCGGTTGCTTTCATATCCTGGCTGTTGTGAGTAGCTCTGCAATAAACATGGTTTGCAGATATCTTTTAGACACACTGAGTTCCTTTCTTTTGGGTATGTACCCAAGGGGGCTGCTAGATCACATGGTGAATCTATTTTTCGTTTTTCTGAGGAACCTCTCCTCACTGTTTTCCTCAGTGGCTGTGCTGGTTTACAACAAAGAGTACCTTTGATCATGCCGGAGTTTATGCGAATGCGGTGACTAGGGTGGGGCCCCTAGATACCCTCAGAGTGGGCTGGTTTACCAAAAAATCAAGTGATTAGAGGGTCAGCACTTTTGGCCCCACTCACTGGCCCCAGGAAGCGGAGGAGCTGGAGATTAAGCACCATTTTAAACTCTTGAATAAGATTTGATGAGCTGCTGTGCTGATTAACATATCAAGGTGTCGGGAGGGAGCAAGGTGCAGCTGGAGAGGCCATGGAAGCTCTGCGTGCACCCTCCACACCTTGCCTGATGCATCTCTTCCATCTGGCTGTTCCTGAGTTGTATGCTTTTTTTTTTTTTTTTTGAGACAAGGTCTTGCTTTGTCACCGAGGCTAGAGTGCAATGGGCCTGATCTCAGCTCGCTGCAACCTCCGCCTCCCAGGTTCAAGCGATTCTCCTGCCTCAGCCTCCTGAATAGCTGGGATTACAGGCACGTGCCACCATGCCTGGCTAATTTTTTTTTGTATTTTTAGTGGAGACGAGGTTTCACCTTGTTGGCCAGGCTGGTCACGAACTCCTGACCTCAGGTGATCCACCCACCTCGGTCTCCCAAAGTGCAGGGATTAAAGGTGTGAGCCACTGTGCCCGGCTGTATGCTTTTTTTAAACAAACAAACAAACAAACAAACAAACAAACAAAAAACAAAAAAACAGTAGTACTAAGAGTTTCTGAGTTACACGAGGTATTCTAACAAATCATTGAACTCAAGGAGAGTGTCATGGAAACCCCTGATTTATAGCTGGTAGGTCAGAAGCTCAGGAGGCCTGGGATTTGCAGCTGGCTTTGTCTGAGGTGGGGAGGTGTCTTGCGGCACTGAGCCCCTAAGCCGTGAGGTCTGTGCTAACTCTGGGTAGTTTGTGTGAAAATGAAATTGAATTGTAGAACACCCAACTAGTGTCCAGAAAAATCAGAAAATTGGTTGTTGGTTTTGGAAAACACCCCAGCCCTACACACTTCCAATAAATCCTCTTTGCTTATTTGCCTGAGTTGGTTTCTATAGCTTTCAGCCAAAGAACCTTAACTAATAAGCTTTTATTGAAATAAAATCCTACCCAGAAACCCAATAAATGCAGAAAGTAGAAGAAATTGTGTCTGCTCTGTTGAAGCAGACGGAGGGCGTCAGTGCAGAGCTCTGCTATGCCACATCCTCACTTCCTCTGCCTGGGTGCCCTGGAGGGGCTCCTGAGAGCATCGGGGGCTTCTGTGAACACAGTGTAAAAAGGACTGCAGGCCAGGCGCAGTGGCTCACAGTTGTAATCACAGCACTTTGGGAGGCCAAGGTGGGCGGATCATGAGGTCAGGAGATTGAGACCATCCTGGCTAACACGGTGAAACCCCGTCTCTACTAAAAATACAAAAAAAAAAAAAAAAAAAAAAAATAGCCGAGCATGGTGGCACACGCCTGTAATCCCAGCTACTTGGGAGGCTGAGGCAGGAGAATCGCATGAACCCAGGCAGTGGAGGTTGCAGTGAGCTGAGATTGCGCCACTGCACTCCAGCCTAGGTGACAGAGTGAGACTCCATCTCAAAACAAACAAACAAGCAACAACAACAACACAAAAAATGACTGCAGTAGGAAACGACACCTCCATCATGGGGATTTGGGGCTCCCAACTAATCAGTGTGCTACCTCCTGTCTAGACCCTAATCCACAGAGAGCACACAGAAGGATACAAATGAGGGCTATAACATCAGGGTTTGCAAAGCAGAGGTCTTTCTGGGGCCTTCAAATTTTGTCCTGCCCCTACCAGCCCACCCCAGTGATGAAAGACCGCAACAGTCAGCTTGCAAGCCCTGAACCTCCTCTGGTTTAGTTCAACAGTAAGTCAGATGAAAGTGTCAACTAAAAATAAAATTCTAAGCCTTGGCCCCGAGCAGTGGCTCACACCTGTAATCCTAGCACTTTGGGAGGTGGAGATGTGCGGATCACCTGAGCTCAGGAGTTTGAGACCAGCCTGGACAACATGGAAAAACCCTGTCTCTACAAAAATTACAAAAATTAGCTGGGCATGGTAGCATGCACCTATAGTTCCAGCTACTCAGGGGGCTGAGGCAGGAGAATCTCTTGAACCCAGAAGATAGAGTTTGCAGTGAGCTGCGATCATGCCACTGCACCCCAGTCTGAGTGACAGAACAAGACCCTGTCTCAAAAAAAAAAAAAAAAAAAATTCTAAGCCCCCCACCTAACTGAATGGACCTTTGCTTGGCCATGGGAAGCCCAGAGTAACCTTGAAAACTGAGTTCTCAGCTGTGATGGGATAGCAGATCAGACACACATTGCTATACCCTCTCCCTCAATAACTGCAATGAAGCTTTTTTCCCTGAGGGCTGAACAGAAACCAGCCCTTTCAAAAGACTCTACCACTGAGATCAACCAGCTGCTGGACACTGCTTCTCCTCTTTTGCCTGATAAGAGATCACCTACCATGGATTGGCTCTGGCCAGTTTTCGGAGAATGCACAGTACAGGTTTTCATGCCCTCTGCTTCACCTTTTGATGTCAGAGGACTGAAAGCTGCCCCTTCGGATCATGCTAATGTTGCCTTTTTATGCATGGGACCCATAAAGGGGCATGGAGCTCAACTGTGTAGTGTACACTGCTCTTTTTATGAATATTCACGTCTCCTCCTTTAGCTTATTAAATATGTATGTTAGGCCACCCTGCCCAGCTTAGATTCCTGTTCCCTTTGCCCTTCCCTTGAAGTGTTTGTTTCTGGCTTCTGACTGGAGGCTACGCTTCCCAGCCTGTCAGAATGGCCACCTTGCAGTCTGCAACCCTTTATGAGAAACGAAGCTCTCCTTTCCAAACATAGGAACCTAGTTATTCTTCGGTTGACATGAGACACATGCAAAGACTATGTTCTCTCTCTTGGTGTAACCTCTGTGATTAGGATGCTGCTGCCATCAAGAGTCCCAGCTTCTGTGCCAGATGGAGGAATCATATTTGACCTTAGGCCCCTCCAAATTTACCTGAGCAAGTACCTACTAGACATTCTGGTATTCTCCCTTGAAAGCCCTCCTGCTGCTGCTCTCTAGCCCTAGGGGTGTATGTTTTGAGTGGACAAACAGTTGCTTGTGTCAGCTGTATGTGTCAGGTGGACTTGCAAAGCTCTGGTATCTATAGTGATAGGGAAGGTGTAGGGGTCTCCCTGGGCCTTGTTCCCCGAGAGTGGCTGTGGCCTTTGATCCACAGTCAGGCTCTCCAGTCTTCACCAGCATTCTCAGTACTCACAGCACCTACTTAGGTTCAGATGCATTGATGTGTGTGGAGGGTGGGGTTGTCATCAGCAAACTGAGTTCTTTCCCAATTTCCCATCAGTTGCAAAGAAAGGACATCTAATTGGAAAAGGCAATTGGGTTTTATTTATCGGCCAGAGAAAGGAGAAGGGAAGCTCTCATTCCAAAGGCATCCTTTCCCTGAGCAACAGGAGGCAGGGTTTTTAAGGACTGGGTGTGGAGTGGGAGAGGTATGTTAACATGTGCAGGGTGAGACTCCAGACACATGGGCATGCTTCCTAAACATGCTTCTTCATACATTGCATGTACACCAAATAGTGGTGATCTTCTCTTAGGGGAGGGGGTTTTAGCATTATAACGCTATGTTAATCAACTAAAGACAAGAGGGGTTGCCTGTTGTAATTTGCACCGGTTTCTCCTGGATCTTATCTTCCTCTGGTGTTTGGTTAAGGGTCAAGAAGTGCTGGCAGCATCCTAGGCCATCTGGTTTCTTTAAGCAATTGTGTCTATAGATAAAGGCACTAAAGAAAAACAGTAGGGAAACGGAACTTTCCCAGTTATTTCATCAGAGCTACCCTGGTAACAGGATGGTGGGTGTGAAGAGTTACGTTTACCCCTATACGATAGTGTGGCTTTCACTTTGGGATGAGATGTCTGCAGTCTCACTGTCAGCCAGTGGTTGGAGGAGAGTTCAAACCAAGATGGGTATGATTGTAAGGAGTTGCTTTTCAAGCTGGTCCCTCCACGTCCACGCCCATCCCAGCACCTCCCGGAAAAAACAGTTCCTCTAGAAGAACTGATAACAACCAACTGCCCCTCAGACCCCAGCTGTTTTCTTTGTTCTTAGGCACAACAGTTGACCCACACCCTTTCCTCTTGGGTCCGCTCACCATAGTTGTAGGATTTTCTTCTGTTTCACCTTTGCACGCCTATTCTTCAGGGAGCTAGGGGCGGGCAATCCCTGGGGCTTTTTCTTTTCTTTTTTTTTTTTTTTTAGACAGAGTCTTGCTCTGTCACCCAGGCTGGAGTGCAGTAGCGCAATCTCAGCTCACTGCAACCTCCGCCTCCCGGGTTTGAGTGATTCTTCTGCCTCGGCCTCCCAAGTAGCTGGGACTACAGGTGCCCACCACTATGCCTGGCTAATTTTTGTATTTTTAGTAGAGACGGGGTTTCACCATGTTGGCCAGGATGGTCTCAATCTCCTGACCTTGTGATCTGCCTGCCTCAGCTTCCCAAAGTGCTGGGATTACAGGCGTGAGCCACCGCGCCTGGCCCCTGGGGGCTTTTTCTCCACAACTCGCCTTTGCTGGGTGATAGGACAGATTATCAGAGGAAGAGAAATTCCCCAATAATCCTTGAGAGTGGTTCAGGGGTGACTGAAAAAGGCTGACATGACCTGGGCCCCAAATAGGAGAACAATTTGGCCTTAGAAATCAGTTAAGGGTGTTAGCACCGATTAGAACAGAACACTGCTCCATCACATTAGCTGGTAAGAGGTCACGTAGAGAGGATGGTCAGAGGGGTGCTCGATAAATATTCTTGGCAGCCACCTCTCCACCTCATGCTACTTTACTATCTGTGGATGAATGATTTTTGTGACTTTGGGTGGGCCAAGGATTCCTCCACGTCACAGCCCAACTCTACTTTAAGGTACTGCAGCACTGGATAGAATTTATGGGCAAGATTGAGGTTAACAGACAATGTAGCAAGATGCTGAGCAGGAGAGTGGATCTTATATCTCTGTGTAGGGATGTTAAAGATAGCCTCTGCTCCCAAAGAAAAGGAGGGAAGGAAGGGAGGAAGGGAAAGAAGGAAGGAGGGAAGGAGAAGGGAGGAAGAAAGGAAAGGAGGGAGGGAGGGAAGGAGGGACAGATGGAGAGGAAAAAGAAGAAAAAAAAAGAAGGTTGGGCACGGTGCTCACACCTGTAATTGCAGCACTTTGGGAGGCCAAGGCAGGTGGCTCACCTGAGGTCAGGAGTTCGAGATCACCATGGCCAACATGGAGAAACCCTGTCTCTACTATAAATACAAAAATCAGCTGGGTGTGGTGGCACGCACCTGTAGTCCCAGCTACTCAGGAGGCTGAGGCAGGAGAATCGCTTGAATCCGAGAGGCGGAGGTTGCAGTGAGCCGAGATTGCACTACTGCACTCCAGCCTGGGTGACAGAGTGAGACTCTGTCAAAAAGAAAGAAAGAAAGAAAGAAGAAAGCAATCCAAAGTTAGAAACCATATGCAGGAGAAAATATGTTAGAATCCAGGGAACCATAATTGTGTAAGTCTTTTTCAAAATCAACTCACTAGGTTTTTCTGTAGGAAACAAATCAAAAAGAGGAGAGCAAGCAAATTAAATTTCCTTCTGCTTTCTTCCGAAAGAAACTTAATCTCACCATGAGAGAAGATAAAGAGTTCACTTTCAGAAAACACTGATTAGAGAAGCTGCATTTTTTTCACACAAGGGCCTGTGGACCAGCTCAAAGTGAGTATCTTGGACATTTACCCCACATCCTGCCTCCCCTCTCCCCATCTCATCTGCCTTGGATGTCTGACTTTCCCCGTTACCAGCAATTACTTATAAATGGCTGCTAATACTGAGGTGCCAAGTTACCCAGTTTTAACCAAAGAAAATTTGGGCAGAAGGCAAGGCCTACTGCAAACACATTTGCTTTTATTTTTGGTCATTGTACAGATGGAGTTTCAGATTACTGTTTCCTCCCTTCCCTTGAAAGCAGCTTTGTCTTTTTCCTGGACTGAAGAATTGCATTGATTGTAATCACCAAGGATTTAAGGCAACCATTTGTAAGGCGGCATCCACTTTTATGGCCCACATCATGAAAACATTGCAGGCTAGAATTCTCTACCCATATCCAGCCATTTGTTGCTTTATAGTCATATAGAGACATGAAATATTGCTTATTTGATGTATTGGTTTGCTCGGGCTGCCATAACAAAGTAGCACTGACGGGGTAGCTTTAACAACAGAAATTTATTGTCTCACCGTTCTGGAGCCTGGCAAGTCCCAGATCAATGTGTCGGCAGACATGATTCCTTTTGAGGGTTCTCTCTTTGACTTGCTGATGGCTGTCTTCTCCCTGCATCCGTCATTTCTCTGTAACTGTCCAAATTTCCTTTTTTTTTTTTTTTTTGAGATAGAGTCTCACTCTATCACCCAGGCTGGAGTGCAGTGGCACGATCTCGGCTCACTGCAACCTCCTGCCTCAACCTGCCGAGTAGCAGGGATTATAGTTGCCTGCCACCACACCAGGCTAATTTTTGTATTTTTAGTAGAGACGGTGTTTCACAATGTTGGTCAGGCTGGTCTCAAACTCCTGACCTTGTGATTCACCCGCCTCGGCCTCCTGGAGTGCTGGGATTATAGGCGTGAGCCACCGTGCCCGGCCAGGTTCAAATTTCCTCCTCTTAAAGGACATCAGTCATATTGGATTAGACCCCACCCTAGTGATCTCATTTTATCTTAATTACCTCTTTAAAGACCCTAACTCCAAATAAGGTCACGTGCTAAAGCACAAGGGATTAGAATTTTAACATATGAGGTTTTGGGGGATATTGCTCAGTCTATAACATTTGGGAAAAATTTTTACTATTCTTTTGACTTTAGCCCTTTCAAAGAACATCCAAGAGTGCTGGGAAAAACCCTTGTTTGACCGCTTCTGCATATGCCTGTTGAGGATTCTTTGGTCTGTTCAGTGGGAAAATGCTATCTTAAGTATTATATATGGAATATTCTGCCTGTGGTAAACCATGGGATGCATTTTCTCATCTGATGCTTATCTAATGATGTCATAGGGCTTCAGAAATGAATGCATGGAAGTGAGGAGTAAAAAATAAAAGATCCCCTAAGCACTTAAGACTTCTGTGCATAGAAATGCATGAATAAGACCATTTAATGGGTTTCTGAGGCTCAGAAGTTGCCGCTTGTGCGTCTCAATCAAGTGTTTGTCTTTGAGCAGCACATTCTTCCATGTCAGGGATGTTTATTTTTTTGCTTTGTCCTTAATGAGACTGTTCTATTTAGGTTTAGAAGACCTTAGACACAAAGGCTGTGAGTTAGAGTCATATAAGGTAGCATTATGATTATTCATTATGGTATATGAATTTCATGTTTTACCTATTTTATGAAGTAAGAAATTCCTAACCTTATTGAAGAAGAGACATCTGATTCAGCCTTGCACATGCTAGTAGAGGATCAATTCCTTAGTCCATGGTCTAGGAAATCAGTAACCCAAAATAGTTCTGCCTCCACGGCTGAGCCAGTGTTCCCTGGCATATCATTATTAGCCTTCTCTTCTCACTCCACCTGGTTTCACCTCCCCGAGCCAAGCTCATGTCTCCCACATGTAATTCTCTAGCTGCTATCTCTCTTCTGAGCTTAGACCCTAGAGATTCCAGAATATAATACTTTTCTACTTAATTTTCTCACAGGTAACTTGAACTCAACATGACCCAAATGGAAACCATTGTCTCACTCCAAAATTTCCTCCTTCTCTGCCTACGTAGTCCCTATTTGATCACATCACCCCACCATGCATCTAGCTGCCCAGTCCAGAAATCTTGCAGTTATTTATTCTCCCTTTCCTCTCCTCCCTCCCATTCAATTTTCCAGTTCCTGTGATTCTACTTCCCTAGGACCTCTTGAATACATGCCAGCCTCTCTTTCCTCATTGCGGCTCTCCTAGACTCTGGCCTCAGCAGTTCTGCACTGGGGTACTGAAAAACTTAACGAGTGCAGGGCAGTATCAGAGTTAGTAGTCCATTTTCTGTTGCCTATAACAGAATTCCTGAAACTGGGTAATTTATAAAGAAAAGAAATATATTTCTTACAGTTTTGGAGGCTGAGCAGTCCCAGGTCAAAGGGTTGCATCTGAGGAGGGTCTTTTTGCTGGTGGGGACTCTCTGCATTGTCTGGAGGTGGTGCAGGGCATCCCATGGTGAGTGGGCTAAGCACACTAGCTCAGGTCTTTCTCTCTCTCTCTCTTTTTTTTTTTTTTGAGACAGGGTCTCACCCTGTCACCCAGGCTGGAATGCAGTGGCACAAACACGGCTCACTGCAGCCTCCACCTCCCAGGCTCAAGCAATTCTCCTGCCTTAGCTTCCTGAGTGTCTGGGACTACAGGCATGCGCCACAAGGCCCAGCTAACTTTTTGTATTTTTATAGAGATGGGGTTTTGTCATGTTGCCAGGCTGGTCTTGAACTCCTGGGCTCAAGTGATCCACCTGATCTTAGCCTCTATAAGTGCTGGAATTACAGGCGTGAGCCACCACACCTAGTCTTATGGGCTACATCTTAAGGCTGAAACAGGAAATATCCTATAACAAATGTACTTTATCTCTAGAAGTTGATCTCTTGGCAGCAGCAAAATCTACCCAGACAGCAGAACTGTGCAGTGCTCCTCAGCGCTTACTGGTTAAATCGCCATAAGAGGGTTAATATATGCAGGAAGAGTAGATACGCAATTGGCGTAGTCCATGATTTTGAGATGCTTTGGAAATGAGAAGGCCTCTTGTCCTCAGCAGAAACCACACTTAGGAATGGTGAGGATGATAGGAGAGAATGGAGTGAGGGAAGGGGACCTGGAGCCGGAGCAGAGACCACCCCTGTTGTCCAAGTATCGGGGGATCCATCCCATAGCCCTCTTTACACATAAATCTCAGGCCCAATGTAAAGCTGCTTGTCACGTGTTTCTTCCCTTGTGTTTGTTTAAGAAGAAAATTTCTTTTAAAACAGGGATGGCAAAGGGGGTGAGTGAGGATGAGACCAAGGCAAACCTTTTTACCTCCTTTATGAATTTGCCTTACACTCACTCACTCATTCTGGCTAAAAGGACAGCTTTGGCTCTAACAACCTAAATGGCAATCCACAGTCTGAGAAGGGGCTAGGCTGTGGCGACTTCCCCAGGCTGCTTTCAAAGTCCAGGAAGACTGAAAGACAACTGAAAGAATGATTTTCAGAGGGTGGACTCAGCTATCTGGGAGGCTGAGGCAGGAGGATCACTTTAGCCCAGGAGTTCGAGGTTGCAGTGAGCTGTGATTGCACTACTGCACTCCAGCTTAGGCAACAGAGTAAGACCCTGTCTTAAAAAAAAAAAAAAAAAAAAAAAAAAAGGTGGACTCACTGATGAATCCCCTTTTTAAAAAAATAGCAGATTTAGGAAATGGAAAAATTCTCTATTCTGAGATTTCCAAAATGATAATTTAAATTTCAGGACCCCTCCCCTGTCATTTACTTAGTTTCATCCTCAAATTATCCCAGTGTAATTATTATTATTATTTTTCTGGCATCTCTAGTTGAACAAGTGTGATTCTTGATGTGGGCTGTCTGCACTCTCATAGGTTAGAAAGCAACTTTATTAATGTGTGGGATATAAACTAGGGTGTCCTTCTTTCCCTCTTAAAATCTATTACCCAAAAGTGAAATGAAAGCCAGTCTTTTTCTTTGATCCAAGGAAATATGACTCATTCTGAATGCATTTCTATTTACTTTCCTGGAAGGTTTTCCTTAACTCTTTCAGTCTAAAAAGTTTCTTTGCTAGTTATAGCTGAGATGTTTCCTTGGCCTCTTTTATACCTTGCTGGAAAAGGTCAGCGAAGCCTGTGTGAGGGCATATGCTCCTTGGGAACTGCAGCTCCCAGGGCCTAGAAGCATCTGCAATCAGAGTATCTGATTCCACATCTGGCTTCCTGGCCATTAAGCCATGTGTCCTTAGGCAAGCCATTTAATTTCATCTGTAAAATGTGCATAATCATATACACTCTGTGTGCTTAATCAGTTGCCATGATGACCAAATGAGATATGTATGAGAAAGTGCTCTTTTAAAATGACACAGTGCATGGAATGGTTGTCTGTGTGAGTGATGGGATTATACACCATCTTTCTTTTCATATTTATGTTATCCACAATTGACACTTAAAAAAATTTTAATTTTTATTAAAATATATATTTTAAAAAGAAATCATGCAGTGCTGAACAAATAGAAGTTACTAAAACCCTTCTTTTGGTATTAAGCTCTAATTTTATAAATTTTCCTTTGTTAACTTTATGTCTCAAACTGATGATGTCAGAGTGTTTTTGAGGGATCTGAGTGTGTAGAAGATAGTTAAGCTGTATATTTATACATTAAGAAATAGGCCAGGCACGGTGGCTCACACTTGTAATCCCAGCACTTTGGGAGGCTGAAGTGGGCAGATCACTTGAGGTCAGGAGTTCGATACCAGCCTGGCCAACATAGTGAAACCCCATCTCTACTAAAAATACAAAAAAATTAGCTGGGCATGGTGGCGCATGCCTGTAATCCCAGCTACTTGGGAGGCTGAGGCAGGACAATCACTTGAACCTGGGAGACAGAGGTTGCAGTGAGCCAAGATGGTGCCATTAGACTCCAGCCTGGGTGACAAAGCGAGACACTGTCTCTCACACACACACAGAGAAATATAGAAATAGGACTTTTCATGAGTTGGTCAATTTAAATACAACAAATGCCTTTGCCCAGGGCTAGTAGAGTCCTACTACTAAGAAACTTCCGGTTTCTCTACTGAATGCACTGAGCGTGCTGCTTCATCTCTCCCCTCTGCCCTGTCAGAATTCAGCTTCCCCCAGCGCTGGGCCAGCTCTGGCAATCATTAAGCTGACAGCTCATCAGTAGAAGCTGTAGGTGTTCAGCAAAGACTCAAGGGTATCCCGAGGCAGATTTCCCTCTGCACAGCTTTCTCCTCTCTGATGCCCTGCCCCACACGCTCTCCAAATTTCAATCTCAATCTCTTCAGAAGTGAGCCCCCCAGTGCTCTGCCTGGGTTCCAGAAAGTGTCTCCGTGTGGAAGCCAGGGCAAGTGTAGGACTCACCTTACTTGTTAAGGTTCCCTCAGGGACCACAGTCCCTTGTTGCCTGCTACCAATGTCTGAAGACAGCTGTTTCCTAGGTTTTGTCTGGTTTTCTAGTTGTTAGCAGCAGGAGAGCAACTCTGGTACCAGTGACTTTATTATGATCAGAGGCAGAAGACCCCAAACGAATTTTTTTTGAAGGATTTGGCAAAAATTTATCTCTTTTTTCCGTTTCCAATCTTTTAAAGTAGACACAGATTTGCTTAATATTAAAGCTGATTTTAAGAGCACACAAAAGTTGTGCACAGAGGGTAGGATTAAATTCACTAATGCAGAGTGATGAAGAGTAAAAGACACTAAGCAGGTGCCTTCAGCAGATAACTGATCATCCATGGCAATTACCTAATAATCGGAGGCTGAAGTCCTTATGCTGCAAAAGCAAGAATACTTTAGTGCATGAAGTGTAAAGCTGAGTTTGTAGCTATATCTTGGTTTCTGCCAAATAAAATTTTAAGATCAGAGGCTTCATCTCCTAAATGGGGCCATTCACATTCTGGATCAGGAGTTTGGTGAGTGTGAGACTAACCTTTAATGCTCTTTGTATCTCTTATCACACCTGAGAGAGTTGCAGAGCAAAATAGAGGGATAATTGACTCAACAAGGAATTGATGTGTGCCTACTATGGCTAGATTTTCATCTGGGCCTGGGGATGGCGCAGAGAACAAGACATCAAGGGTCCTGCTTCGTGGAACTTAATCCAGAACTGCCACATAGATGGCAAAAAGGGTAGCAGCCTGGAGGGGACAGTTTAAAGGATATAAAAAGCCCTGCTTGTCATCAAAGCATCCTCTCACCACTCCACTGCCAAAAGATCACCTTCTGCCTTAAAATCCCCACCTTTGGGCTTGACTTTACAGATTTTTTCCCAATACCTGCTATGTGCTGTTTACTGTGCTGGAGGCTGAGGATGATTTGATGATGAGTAAAGCACGCCCCCTGCCACCAAGCAGCTGAAAACTGGTGGGGGAAATGAGGCATGTATACAAACAATGATTCAACTCCCCATAACCACCTATGTCCCCAAGAGCCCTGGTTTGAAAGACTGACTGACACTAGAAGCAGAGTCTCTGCAATCCTCCTCTGGCAGGCTCAGACACTGACCTGGCCGTTGGGTTCCACAGGCCAGATATTGAGCAGGGAGCTTCTTCCCCGAGGCATGGAGGCCCTGCAAAAGTGGGGACATGAGTGGGGTGCTGATATAGTTTGGCTCTGTGTCCCCACCCAAATCTCATGTCAAATTATAGTTCCCATCCCCACGTGTCAGGGGAGGGACCTGGTAGGAGGTGATTGGATCATGGGGGGTGGATTTCCACCATGCTGTTCTCATGATAGTGAGTTCTCACAAGATCTGATGGTTTAAAAGTGTGGCACTTCCCCCCTCACTGTGTCTCTCTCCTGCCTCCATGAAAGACATGCCTTGTTTCCCCTTTGATTGTAAGTTTCCTGAGGCCTCCCCAACCATGTGGTACTGTGAGTCAGTTAAACCTCTTTTCTTCATAAATTCCCGTCTCATGTAGTTCTTCATAGCAATGTGAAAACGGACTAATACAGGTGCAAAGTAAGGACAGCCAAGGAAGCCAGAAATGGTGTGGAAGCTGGTGTATTAGCCAGCTAGAGAGATCGGCGTATGGGATGCACAGAACAAGAGTAAATTCACTGGGGACTCAGGCAATTGTCTAGAACTTCTGCTCCTCTTCAGGCCTGTTTTTATAACGTGGTTGGCTACCTGGTGGGTGAATGGCTGCACTGTGGGAACCAAAACCTGCCTAGATACTGAAGGGATAAAGGAAGTTGGCTGAGGTTGTGGAAGATGAGGAAGGAGCTGGCATCCAAAGGAGCTGGAAATGAGGCCTCTTGCAAGAAGGGTGGGCATATGATAGAGGCAAATGGCCTGAGGACCATGATGAATGACAGGGGACTTTAGCCAAAGGGCAGGCTCCAAGATTGAGGGAACTGCTGAGAGGTGGTCCTCGACGTCACAATCTTGCCTGGAGCTCATCTTGGGAAGGGTGAGAAGTAGAGGGGTAGTGACTACTTTCTTGAATCCTCGGTTTACCTGGTTTTCTTGGTTTCATAGGTTTACCTGCCACTGGACTTCTGATTGGCAATTCCTCCATGGCCTCCAAATTAACATGTATCACACTGACTTCTTCACTGTCTTTGAAGACTATTTCTCCTGTTATGTTCCTTCTCTTTGGGAGAATTAGCACATTCACCTTGCTGCCTGACACAGAATCTGGGCTTACCTTTGACTTCTTCTCTCTCTTCCACTGTAATCAGTCACTGTTGGTTCCCCATCCATAATATCTGTCCATCTGACCTCTCCTCTTCATCCCACTCAATAAAAAACTCCACGATAAAGGGACTTTATCTGCCTTGTGCTCTGAAATACCTCCCATATCTAGCATAGTGCCCTGCCATGTCATAGGTGTTCAAGCAATAGTTGCTGCATGAATGAATGAATTAATTAATTAATTAATCCTCACTGCTACTACTTTGGCGTAGGCCCTCATCTTTTCAGATGAACCGCTAGGATAGTCTTACTGAATTCAATGACAGTAAGTCACAAACCCTTCAACCCATTGACCACAACTCCACCAAAAGGAACTGCTGTGGCCTAAATCTTTGTCTTCCCAAAATTCAGGTTGAAATTTAATCCCCAGTGTGACAGTATTAAGACTAGGGACCTTAGGATGTGATTAGGTCATGAGGGATTTGCCCTCATGCATGGGATTAGTGTCCCTGTAAAAGAAGCTTGAGGGAGACCTTTTGCCCTTCTACCATGTGAGGACAGTGAGAAGACACATCTGTGACGAACAGGCCTTCATCAGACACCAGATCTTCTGGTATCTTGATGTTAGACTTCCTAGCCCCAGAAATGTGAAAAATACATTCCTGTTGTTTATAAAGTATACAGTCTAAGGCATCTTGCCATTGTAGCCTCAACAGACTAAGACAGAGTGTTTCTAAAGTACACTCAGTTCTCATTATTCACAGTAGTTCTGTTCTATAAAGTTGCTGTGAACACTGAATTAATGAATATTAAGCCATTGCTCCTAAATGAAAATATAGGATAATGTTCCTATGAGCCTCTGTTCCAGCATTTTTGTCAGTCCATTAAGGCACAACCTTGTTTCATGAGTGTTTCTGTTTAAAGATGCCTTATTTAATGTACACTGCTAATTCATTAACATTGAACTGATGGCTAACAGCACTATAACTCATACCTGAATGAAGCTTCTCTAACACACACATTTTCTCTATGAGGTGCATCCCAGCCTTCTTGCACTTTGGGACATTAGATAGCATTTCAGCACTATGCTTGGGGCCATTTTAAACAGAGAAATCACCTACGAAAAGCACAAAATGGGGAAAACATGGTATTAAGTAGACTGCAAAAAGGACACTTGTTTACAAAACAAGAACTGAAACAAGAGGCAGAGTGTTGGCTTATTCCACCTCAGCTGGGAATGTGTGCATCAGGTGACTCAAAATTTTTACCACTCTTATATCCACAAGCGACCCCAAAACTGTCACAAGTATTGATCTTGAGGTTACAAATAAATATTAGCAAGAAGGTGAATTTGTTGGCCAGGCATGGTAGCTTACACCTGTAATCCCAGCACTTTGGCAGGCTGAGGCAGGCAGATTACCTGAGGTCAAGAGTTCGAGACCAGCCTGGCCAACATGGTAGAACCCTATCTGTACTAAAAATACAAAATTAGCTGGGTGTAGTGGAGCATACCTGTAATCCCAGCTACTTGGAAGGCTGAGGTAGGAGAATCGCTTGAACTTGGAAGGTGGAGGTTGCAGTGAGCCGAGATTGCACCATTGCACCCCAGCCTGAGCAACAGAGCAAGAATCCATCTCAAGAAAAAAAAAAAAAAAAGAAGGTGAATTTACAGTATAGAATCTGCAAATACAGAACCTGTGAATACTGAGGATGGGCTGTACAAATCCCCCTGCCTGAGCATTTAGTGCCTTGCCATTGCACCCAGGAAGCTGGGCATCATCTGCCCCACTTCGATCATAGGACCAATTGTGCATATTTAACTTGTGAGGTTACATGCTGGTCTCCTGTGTATCTTAAGGGGAGGAACTGCTGGTTAGTTTGTGTCTCTACCACACAACACGGTGGCTGGCACATAGTAGATGTTTAATAAATAATAAATAAGAATTAATAATAAGTGAATGAACCACTTAGGTGAAAAAAATAAATTAAGAATGGTAGATCTCAAGGTCTCTAGAGTAGAAGGGAGGCCATCACTTTAAAAGTTATTTTCAATTTATGACAGATGCATCTGGAGGGAGTATGTAAAACTATTTCACTAGTTAATTAAACTTTGGTACCAACCTTTCCACTGAAAGAATAAAAATGGTAGGAACCTATTTGCTGGCCTGTGCTGCTGTTTGCTGCATGGGATTTATTGTAGAATTCAGTTGGGCTCATCTGTAGAGTTGAATAAAGCCCAGTTTGCTGTCACGCTGCTGTAGGAAACACTGATGACTTTGTGTAAATTAATTCTGTCTGGTGCTCCTGATTCTATTTACAGTCCAGTTCCCCTTTGCTCTTCGTGCAGTTTCCTGGCCAGCGTGCACTGAGAGCTTTTGGTCTTCTTCCACTTTCTGTTCAGTGAATTTTAACCCCATTATTCAATGTTCATTTAAATAGTGAGCAGTGCCAAGTGTGGAAACTCGCCAAGTTTTAGTTTCAGCTAATCTGTTATCTGAACAGGGTTTGCAAACAGTGTCCTAACCAAAGGATTCTTGGAAATGCTGGCTGCGGTTAAGAAGGAGCTTTTGAATGAATTGTTTCCATTTGAATTTTGTCAACTGAATGACTTTTATTTTGTGTGACAGTCTCAGTGACCGCTAGAGTCATTCTCTCAATTCACATTCATTCAGGATAAAAAAGGGAACGTGAATAGATGTTCTCTGAGGATAATTCTCAAATCTCTATACACAACCAGTCATCAAGCTCTACACACACCCTCTCTTCTCCATCCTGACAGCCAGGCCCTTGATCTGGGGGGCAGCTTTAACTCCAGCACAGACTAAAACATTAGCTTCCTTCCTTTTTTTCTTTTCTTTTTTTTGAGTCGGACTTTCACTCTGTTGCCCAGGCTGGAGTGCAGTGGCACAATCATGGCTCACTGCAGCCTCAAACTCCTGGACTTAATAAAACATTAGCTTCTTAATTTTTCTTTCCTTCTTCCAGTGTGTCAGCTCCTTCTCCTCCCCCATTGCATCCCTTCTGTACCTCTGCCGTGTTAACCCTGTAAAACACAGACTGTGGCCGGGCGCGGTGGCTTACGCCTGTAATCCCAGCACTTTGGGAGGCCAAGGTGGGTGGATAGCCTGAGGTCAGGAGTTCCAGACCAGCCTGGCCAACATAGTGAAACCCCGTCTCTACTAAAAATACAAAAAATTAGCTGGGCGTGGTGGCGGGCGCCTGTAATCCCAGCTACTAGAGAGGCTGGGGCGGGAGAATTGCTTGAACCTGGGAGGCAGAAGTTGCAGGGAGCTGAGATCGCACCATTGCATTCCAGCCTGGGACAGAGCGAGACTCTGTCTCAAAAACAAAAACAAAAACAAAAACACAGATTTCATCATTCCTGCACTAAAGGTACCTGTGTTACCTGTGCTTTACGCTTCCTCCTTCTCTAAAAGCTCATCTGGTTTATGCGGAGTTCCTCAGCTCATTAGATTTTCATCATGGGGAGCTCACATGCCCACTCCTCATCTCCATGATGTCACTCATGTTGGCCTCTTTCTTGTCCTGTCTCTAACTCCTTAAAGGCCCAGAGAAGTCTAACACTCTTTCCAAGGCTTTTCTATGTATGGTCCTCATTTATGAACTCCTGGAGTCAATAGCACTCTGTTTTGGTACTTATACTATTCACTAATGCATTGTATTTTTCTTAACCCTTTCATATATATAAAAAATATATATTACATATATTATATAAAATATGTATTACATATATATAAAATATATATTACATATATTATATAAAATATATATTACATATATTATATAAAATATATATTACATATATTATATAAAATATATATTACATATATTATATAAAATATATATTACATATATTATATAAAATATATATTACATATATTATATAAAATATATATTACATATATTATATAAAATATATATTACATATATATAAAATATATATTACATATATTATATAAAATATATATTACATATATATAAAATATATATTACATATATTATATAAAATGTATATTACATATATTATATAATATATATTACATATATTATATGTGTAATATATATATATTAAACTTTGGTACCAGCCTTTCCACTGAAAGAATAAAAAAGGTAGGAACCTATTTGCTGGCCTGTGCTGCTGTTTGCTGCATGGGATTTATTGTAGAATTCAGTTGGGCTCATCTGTAGAGTTGAATAAAGCCCAGTTCACTGTCACGCTGCTGTAGGAAACATATAAATATATATGTATATATATATTATATATACATATATATATACACGTATACATATTTAAATTATAAGCCCCTGAAATCCGGGACTTATTTTAGACTGCCACTGTTCAATAGAAACATAACGTGAGCCAAAAATGCAAGTCTCATATGTAATTATAAATTTTTTAGTAGTCACTTTAAAGTAAACTTAAACAGTAGCTGTTTACGTTTTTAAACAGTAAACAGGAACAGGCCAGGTGCAGTGGCTCATGCCTGTAATCCCAGCACATTGGGAGGCTGAGGTGGGAGGATCACTTGAACTCAGAAGGTCAACGCTGCAGTGAGCTATGATCACATCACTGCCCTCCAGCCTGGGGGACGAAGCGAGACCCTGACTCAAAAAGAAAAATAAACATAAAATCCACAGGAATAAACAAGTGAAATTAGAAATATATTTTATTTAATGAAATATATCCAAAATATTAGTTGAACATGCAATCAATACGAACAAATATTAAGGAGAAATCTCACAGTTGTTTCATATTCAGCCTTTGGAATCCAGACTGCGTGTTATGCTGACTGCACATCTCCATGCGGACTAGCCACATTTCAAGGCTCAGGAACCCTTTGTGGATAGTGGCTGTCCTGTTGGACAGATCAGTTTTAGGCATTCTTAGCCCCTAGTATCCCATAGTTAAGTGACAGCAAAATGTACACAAAATATGTGAGTCAACAGATTGTCATCAGGCATATGTTTCTGTCTTTGCGTTCATCCTGTTTATTGTTTGATTGTTTTCACTGATGGCTGGGATAGTGTTGCGCTCAAGAAACCCCGCTCAGCCTCCTGAGTACTGGGATTACAGGCGCGCACCACCATGCCTGGCTAATTTTTGGATTTTTAATAGAGACAGGGTTTCACCACGTTGGTCAGGCTGGTCTCAAACTCCTGACCTCATGATCTGCCCACCTCGGCCTCCCCAAGTGCTGGGATTACAGGCATGAGCCACTGCGCCTGGCCAATACCTAATATTTTTAAGGGCCTAGTATGTTCTGTGCACTGGGGTAAGCATTTTATAGGCAGTCTCTAATTTACTGTTCACAACACTCCTTCGAGGTCTGTATAATCAATAACAGACCACATGTACGACAGTGGTCTCATAAGATGATAATGAAGTTGAAAAATTCCTATCACCTAGTGATGTCATAGCCATCCTTATGTTGTAGCGCAGTATACTACTCACATGTTTGTGGTAATTCTGATGTAAACAAACCTGCTGCACCGCCAGTCTTATAAAAGTATAGCACATATAATTATGTACACTGCATAATATTTGATCATGATAATCAACTATATTACTGGTTTATGTATTTACTGTGCTATACTTTTTATCATTGTTTTAGAATACACTCATTCTACTTATAGTTTTAAAAAGTTAACTGTAAACCAGCCTCAGGCAGGTCCTTCAGGAGGTTTCCGGAAGAAGGCATTGTGGTCATAGGAGATGACAGCTCCATGTGTGTTATCGCCCCTGAAGACCTTCCAGTGGGACAATCTGTGGAGGTGGAAGGCAGGGATATTTATGATCCTGACCCTGTATAGGCCCAGGCTAGTGTGTGTGTTCTTGTCTTAGTTTCTAACAAAAAAAATTAAAAAGTAAAAAAAGAAAAAGTAATAGGAAAAAGCTTATAGAATAAGAACGTAAAGAAGGAAATAGTTTTGCACACGTGTACAATGCGTTTGTGTTTTAAGGTAAGTGCTATGACAAAAGAGTCAAAAAGTCAAAAACAATTTTACAGTTTATAAAGTGAAAAGTTACATTAAGCTAGGGTTAATTCATTATTGAAGAAAAAAGTTTTGGCCAGGTGCGTGGCTCACGCCTGTAATCCCAGTACTTTGGGAGGCCGAGGTGGCCGGATCACTTGAGGTCAAGAGTTTGAGACCAGCTTGGCCAACATGGTGAAATCCCGTCTCTACTAAAAATACAAAAATTAGCCGGGTGGTGGCGGGTACCTGTAATCTCAGCTGGCTGAAACAGGGGAATTGCTTGAACCCAGGAGGCAGAGGTTGCAGTGAACCGAGACCGCGCAACTATACTCCAGCCTGGGTGATGGAGCAAGACTCTGTCTCCAAAAAAAAAAAAAAAAAAAAAACCAGAAAGAAAGTAGGTTTTTCATAAAGTTAGTTAGTGTAGCCTAAGTGTGCAGTGTCTATAAAGTCTCCAGCAGTGTATAGTAATGTCCTCAGCCCTCACATTCACTCATCACTCACCCACTGACTTGCCCAGAGTAACTTCCAGTTCTGCAAGCTCCGTTCATAGTGCTTGGCACGTGAACCATTTTTTATCTTTTACACCATGTTCTTACTCTACCTTTTCCATGGTTAGATACATTTAGATACACAAACACTTGCCATTGTGTTACAACTGCCTACAGTATTCAGTACAGGAACTTGCTGTACAGGTTTGCAGCCTAGGAGCCATAGTCTGTACCATGTAGCCTAGGTGCGTAGTAGGCTACACCACTTAGGATTGTGTAAGTACACTCCATGACATTTGTACAATGATGCAATCACCTGACAATGCATTTCTCAGAACGCATCCCTGTCCTTAAGTGACGCATGACTGTAGTACTAAAGGGTATATGGTAAAGGGTTAGAAACGCCCATCCTCTACACTCTAGAAGTTAACAGCCACTGTCCACATTTTCTGACATGCCCTCTTGGAAATGTCCTATACCTAAACAAGGACATATTTGCTTATCCTTTTTCTATCTTAACACTTATGGGGTTATTCTCTTGTGCATCTTACTTGGAAAGGGGTTAAATAAAACTGAAGTTGGATTTAAGTTCAACAGCATGCAGAAATGTGATGTGTCACTCCAAATGTTCATTCAATTTTGTGCTTCAAAAGTAGGCTGTCAAGTGGAGGAAGCCGGCCACCGCTATTTAGAACGTGTCAACACATCTGGAATTTTTCACTTACATATGGGCACGACCTTTTAAGACAAATATTGACAAATTGTATGTGTGTGGAGGAGGGTGATAAAGGAGGCAAAATATTCAAAACTCTTTCTTGACAGAAGACCAGCTGTTTGAGGACTTAAGGATATTTGAGCTGTAGAAGGGACATCTTGGAGGAATTCTCTAGGAAAAAATAGCCATTGGAATGAGCTCAGGGAGAAATGCTCACCCAGGGTTCCGTCGAGTTATGTGAGATAGATATATATATATATATAATTTTTTTTTTTTTTTGAGATAGAGTTTTGCTTTGTCGCCCAGGATGGAGTGCAGTGGCACAATCTTGGCTCACTGCAACCTCTGCCTCCTGGGTTCAAGCAATTCTTGTGCGTCAACTTCCTAAATAGCTGAGATTACAGGCACCTGCCACCACAACGGCTGATTTTTTGTATTCTGGTAGAGACGGCATTTCACCATGTTGCCCAGGCTGGTCTCAAACTCCTGAGCTCTGGCAATCTGCCGTCTCAGCCTTCCAGAGTGCTAGATTACAGGCGTGAGCCACTGCACCTGGCCTATGTGGCATATTTTGACTAAGTAAGGACTTTTGTGGAGATGAAGAGAGGTAACACATGTAAAAGTGCTTTTTTTTTTTTTTTGAGATGGAGTCTCTCTCTGTTGCCCAGGCTGGACTGCAGTGGCGCGATCTCGGCTCATTGCAAGCTCCACCTCCTGGGTTCACGCCATTCTCCTGCCTCAGCCTCCTGAGTAGCTGGGACTACAGGTGCCCACACCATGCCTGGCTAATTTTTTGTATTTTTAGTAGAGATGGGGTTTCACTGTGTTAGCCAGGATGGTCTCAATCTCCTGACCTCATGATCCACCTGCCTCGGCCTCCCAAAGTGCTGGGATTACAGGTGTGAGCCACTGTGCCCGGGTGTAAAAGTGTTATTAAAATTGGAAGCCACCACAGAGAAAAATGATTCCTAAAAATAAAGAAGGCTTGACATTTTAATGGCAGGCTTCACTGAGTGTGACCCCCCGCCCCACACAATCATTTCCGATGTTTAGGCAGAGTACCCCATTGACAAAAATAATTACTCTCTTTCTAAAAGGGTTTCATTTACTGTCTCAGAGTCACTTATTTACATCTTTAAGCCTGGGTTATTGCCTGGCACAAAGTAGATTAAAGAGGAAGGAAGGAGGCCGTTGTGATGTCTCATGTCTGTAATCCTAGCACTTTGGGAGGCCAAGGCAGGAGGATCCCTTGAGCCCAGAAGTTCAAAACTATAGTGAGCTATGATTACACTCCTGCACTCCAGCTTGGGTGACAGAGCAAGACTCTGTCTCTAAAAAGTAAAATAAAGAATAAAGTGGAAGGAAGGAAGGAAGGAAGGAAAAAGAAAGAAAGGAAAAGAAAAGGAAAGAAAGAAAAGAAAGAAAGGAAGAAAGAGAGAGAGAAAGAAAGAGGAGAGGGAGAAAGGGAGAAAGAAGGAAAGAGGGTGGAAAGAAAGGAGGGAAGGAAGGGGCTGGAGGTAGGAAAGGAGGGAGAATAGAAAGGAAAGGAGAGAGGAGGAAGGAAGAAAGGAGGGAAGGAAGGGGCTGGAGGTAGGAAAGGAGGGAGAATAGAAAGGAAAGGAGAGAGGAGGAAGGAAGAAAGGAGGGAAGGAAGGGGCTGGAGGTAGGAAAGGAGGGAGAATAGAAAGGAAAGGAGAGAGGAGGAAGGAAGAAAGGAGGGAAGGAAGGGGCTGGAGGTAGGAAAGGAGGGAGAATAGAAAGGAAAGGAGAGAGGAGGAAGGAAGAAAGGAGGGAAGGAGGAGGAAGGGGAAAGAGGAGGGAAAGGAGGAAGGGAAAGGAGAGAGAAAAGAAGGAAGGAGTGGAAGAAAAGGAGGAGGAAATGAAGGGAGGAAGGAGGGAAGGAGCAAGGGAAGGAAGGAAAAACGGAAGTGAGGGAGGAAGGGGTTATGGAGGGAAGGAGGGAGAGTGAAATAAATGGGTGCTATCAGTCCAGGTATTTTTTTCCTTCTCATTACACCTTTTTAATCCCACCAGCTTGCCTGTCTATTCCATAGTCTCCTTTTGCCTCGATTTTTCACATATGCTACTTTAATTCTCTACCCCACTTTCCCATCTCCTCATCCACTATATTTGGCTACTGTTGAAAACCCTTAAGTTGCTTGTTCTTATCTCCCAAGGGCAAGCTATTGCCTCTCTAAGCCTCCACAGCTAAGTGCTTCACCTTGCACTTGAGAAAATCAAACTCCTGGGAGATCCTTCCCAAATGTTTTCTAGGTTTCTGCACTTCCTTTGACTGCATTTCTTTTTTTCCTTCCTCCTTTCTTCCTTTCTTTTTTCCTTCCTTCTGTCTTCCTTTTTTTTTTTTTTTGAGACAGAGTCTTGTACTGCCCAGGCTGGAGTGCAGTGGTGTGATCATGGTTCACTGCAGCCTTGACTGCCTGGGCTCAAATGATCCTCCTGCCTCAACCTCCCAAGTAGCTGGGACTATAGGTGTGTAGCCCATGTATCCCATGTTCAGCTAATTTTTTATTTTTTTGTAGAGGCAGAATCTCACTATGTTGCCCAGGCTGGTCTCCAACTCCTGGGCTTAAGCAATCCTCCCGCCTTGGCCTTTCAGAGTAAGGGAGGAGATCACCCCTCATATTGTCTTATGCCCAATTTCTGCCTCCAAAGAAAGAAGAAATAAAAACTAAAAGGCAGAAATGAAATCCACAGGCAGATAGCCCGGTGTGTGCTCTGGGCCTGGTAGTTAAAAATCAACCCCTGACCTAACTGCTTGTGTTATCTATAGATTCCAGACATTGTGTGGAAGAGCATTGTGAAAACCCTGTCGTGTTCTGTTCCGTTCTAATTACCAGTGCGTGCAGCCCCCTGCTTGCTCAATCGATCTCAACCCTCTCACGCAGACCCCCTTAGAGTTGTAAGCCCTTAAAAGGGACAGGAATTGCTCACTCGTGGAGCTTGGCTTTTGAGAAACAAGTCTGCTGAAGCTCCTGGCTGAATAAAGCTCCTTCCTTCTTTAACCCGGTGTCTGATGAGTTTTGTCTGCAGCTTGTCCTGCTACAAGAGTGGTGGGATTATACGTGTGAACCACCATGTAATATTGCCTGGCTCACTCTTTCTGTCTTTCTTTCTTCCTTCCCTTCCTCCCTCCCTCCCTCTTCTCTCTTTCTTTCCCTCTTTCTTTCTTTCTTTCTTTCCCTCTTTCTTTCTTTCTTTCTTTCTTTCTTTCTTTCTTTCTTTCTTTCTTTCTTTCTTTCTTTCTTTCTTTCTTTTTCTTTCTTGTTTTCTTTCTTTCTCTCTCTCCCTCTTTCTTTCTTTTTCCTTCTTTCCTTCCTTCCCTCCCTCCCTCATTCCTGAATGACAGTGTTTCTACATACTGCTTGAGGAACGGACTCCCCTGTCCTGTCTTCCGTTTCCAGTGTTTTGGCTATCCCCTAGAAATGCAGACTTTGTTTCAGCCTTTGCACAAACAGTTACATGGATTCTGCCTTTGGTATCTTCCCAGTAAGAAGTCAATGGCCTGTGGCAAGGCTCTATTGTTTATTAGCTGAGCAAACTTGGGCAATACAACTACCTTTTATCAGCCCTTTATTCCTCATTGTCAGGTAGAACTCTGAGTCATACTCATCCCCCAGTGGTTGTTTGGATCAAATGAGAAAGCTCTTTATAAAGTATCAAGAGCTGATGATTTCTATTTCCTGTCTCTGAATTACCACCTAAATCAGGCCAGGTTGCCTCTCAATTCAAAGTTGCATTCACCTATTAACTATTCTCCCTCCCTCTAGTGTTCACTCATATACAGCCTATTAGACATGAAAGTGCCAGAATGATCTTTCTAATGCTCTGATTATTTTAAAATATAACCTCTCATTGCCTGTAAAATAGAGTCCAAACTTCATAGCATGGAATTCAAAACTCTCCCCAATCTGAGGTCAAAGCCACTGTTCCAGCCTAGCTTCCAACCAACCAGGAGTCTACCCACTCTCCCTGGTCTGTCTTCACTTTCTGAAAGTCTGCTTACCCTTCAAGCCTACTTTAAGTGAACAGTTTTCTGTTATACATGTTCTGAACTCCATAATGAATCCTGCCCTGCTGGGACTGCCACAGTGTTTGAACTGTACTTCTATCATGATGCCTCCTACATGATCTCCCCTGATGAAGTGTAAGTCACCTGAAGTCATGGATTGACCCTCATGCATGTTCATCATAGAGCTTTGCAGTGTGGTTTACACACAGTAGTGTTAAAAGACCAACTGAGGCACATTGAAATATTAAAGAGTTTATTTGAGCAAAAAGTGATTCATAAATCAGGCAGCTCCAGACCGCAAGTGGTTCTAGGCTCTGACAAAGGGGCAGGAGGGAAAAAGCTTTTATAGGGTGAATGAGGAAGCAAGGCAAAGAAAATATTTGATCAGTTAAAGTGGAGCAATGGCCTTATTTGGATCATTCCAGTGGAAAGCCCCTAGTTAGAGGTTAGTTGGAGGTTTCTGATTGGTTAAGCTTGTTTTGTTTTACTGTTTACACTGAATTAGGTTTTAACTTGCTTAAGTAGGAACCCAGAGCACTGGAGCTGCCTCAGCCTAATGACCTCCCAATTAATTATTTTAACAGTAATTACTCAACAAATTACATTGAACAGTATGTCCATTTATATATATATTTGCTATCACTAGGTGCCCAGCATTGTGCTATAGCAAAGAAAGTATCATCCTTGTCTCTGGCCAAATAAAAAATATTGTTGAAGTGACAAGGCAACAATTTAAAAACTATATAAAGGACTCTATGATTAAATGCCAAGTTTCCCATTTATATGTACACATAGTTGCATACAAAAATCTTTAAGAGGCATTATATAACCTTTAAAATTTACAATTTGTTTTAGAAATGATTGAAATATAAGAAATTATGTCTTGAAATAAACACATTTGCTAAAATGTAGCCCAAATTCATTGCACAGTTGCTTTCAAAGTAATCTAGTTTTAGGTTCTGCAACAAATGAAAAATGGCAAGATAAACTTCTCTATAGTTAGCGGCATTTAAAGTCATCAGCTTGAAAAGGCAAGCTCAGTTGGACTTCTGGTGTCTTTTTCAGGTTCTTTCTAGTCTATTAACAACCTAAGTTATTAAACTTGAGAATGATAAAAAAAAACAAAAATAAATAAAACGCACAAAAAGACTCTTTAGAGTTCCCAAAAGCAAACAACAAGTGGGCAGAGATTAGAGGTGGGGAGGAACCTAGTGGCTGGGTTAATGGAAGGTCAGGATGGAGGCACATGAGAATAATCTCTAAGTAAATGCCTGGATACTGGTGACTCTGAGGCTTGTGCTCCAAGGCCCAGGTCCCTAACCTTGATTGACAAAGTCTAAGAAAAGATGTGGGTTAATGAATAGAGCACTGGATTAGAAGTTTGTGTTTTCTGATTTCCAAGAGCCTGTGAACAACAAAACAAAACAGAAAAGACTAATTCAGCTGCATGGGTGATGATGAAGACTCACTCTGATTTGAACTCAGAATACAGATGTTTTGCTATGGTCTGAATGTATGTGCCCCCTGCCAGCCCCAAATTCATATGTTGAAACCTAACCCCCATGTGGTGGTATTGAAGTGAGATCTTTGGGAGGTGTCTAGGTCATGAAGGTGAAGCCCTTGTAAATGGAATCAGTGCCCTTGTAAAAGAGGCTTGAGGGCGCTCCCTGGCCCCTTCTGCAATGTGAGGACACCCAGAAGGTGAAATCTATGAGGAATGAGCTCTCAGCACACACGTCAGCTGGTGCCTTGATCTTGGACTTCCAGCCTCCAAAACTGTGAGCAATACATTTCTGTTCTTTACACATTATCCAGTCTCAGGTATTTTGTTATAGCAGCCTAAATGGACTAAGGTAATGTTTCAGTGGCTTAATGCAAAAAAACACACTGTCAGAAGTTATTTACTACTTCTCTCTCATTATAAGCATGAACTTTAAAAGGTACTTTATATTGGCATTTGAATAAACAGACACTAACATTCCCCAAGGATGTCAAAATATTTGTTATATAATAGTTTCAGGCTTGTACAAATAATGTCTTCACCAGCACCACAGAAATTCTGTAGAAACTTCTCCTTACCCTGGGATATTATTTGTTGATACTGATTTCAATACTCTTACCTCACTGAGTATAGGCCAGAACGCAGAGCCTGCCTTTAAAATGTTAAGGTTGGCCTGGCGTGGTGGCTCATGCCTGTAATCCCAGCACTTTGGGAGGCTGAGGTGGGTAGATCGTGAGGTCAGGAGTTCAAGACCAGCCTGGCCAAGATGGTGATGGGTATGGTGGCGGGTGCCTGTAATCCCAGCTACTTGGGAGGCTGAGGCGGAGAATTGCTTGAACCCGAGAGGTGGAGGTTGCAGTGAGCCAAGATCGCGCCACTGCACTCCAGCTTGGGCGACAGAGTGAGACTCCATCTCAAAAAAGAAAAAAAAAATTGGTAAGGTTGGCATTGTCTAAGTTGTGCCTCTTTTCTCGAGTCCTGACACCACGGACCTCATGCTGCTGTCTAGCTGACCCTAACCTCCTTTTCCTTCTGTAATCCGTAATTCTCTGAAGTATGTGCTTTAAAATGCTTTCAGTGCCCCGATACTTCAAAGTGATTTCTTTTCTTATTTCACCATCACATAGCTGAATCTCCTATCACCTACCTTGAGTGATTTCTGCTAGGTACTACAGGTGAGACTGCATTGTAACCAGTGAAATTAAAGAAATTCATGCAGGCTGGGCGCGATGGCTCACACCTGTAATCCCAGCACTTTGGGAGGCCGAGGTGGGTGGATCACCTGAGGTCAGGAGTTCGAGACCAGCCTGGCCAACATCGTGAAACCCCATTTCTACTAAAAATACAAAAATTAGTCGGGCGTCGTGGCACATGCCTGTAATTCCAGCTACTTGGGAGGCAGAGACAGGAGAATTGCTTGACCCAGGAGGCAGAGGTTGCAGTGAGCTGAGATCACGCCACTGCACTCTAGCTTGAGTGATAGACTGTCTCATAAAAAAAAAAAAATTCATGCTAAGGTGTGAACCGAATGTCAAAATGCTTCCCACCCCTTCCTCTCCCTTACTCCCACACAGGCAGACTGGTCACTCTCCTGAAGACACCCACCGTTTACATAAGTGAATGAATAAATACCTGACATCCAGAAATGTGACTAGGTAATTAGTAGAAGGTGAGGCACAGTGAAGAGGCGGAAAATTCTGGGCAGTGGGTGGGGTGGGAAGCCTGGGTGCTGTCAATCACACCGCCTGCACTAAAGCTTCTTCATATCAGTCTCACCCACTTGCAACCGTCCAGGGAGAATATTGTGCCAATTTCAAAGACACTGCTTCTGGGGTGGGCTCTAGGAGGTGGTAAAGGGTATAAAACAACCCAAAGTGCAGGGCTCTTTTATGTTGGGTGTCTGAAGTGCTCAGAACACTTTATAATTTTGATCCCCTTGAATGTAGCTAGAAAATTAAATCCCTTTATAATTAAAGCCAATAATGAATGGGCATTAAAGTTATCCAATCTATACACTGCATTAGTTTTTAATCTGCGGTTGGGCTGTAGCGTTTACTTCTTGATCTTTTCTATCTCTAATCTGGTTATAACTGCCTGTCATTTTTACTTTTCCTGGGAGGGGCAGAGTCTCTCTCTCTCTTCTCTTTTCCTCTGAGGTGTGCGTCGTGTTTATTTTTGCCTGAGCTGATGGATAATTTCCGAGATTTAATCCCTTTCTCTGGTTTCCTGACATTTCCACTTAGAGTTACTCTTGTGTTTATGGCCAGAATGAAAGGCATGTTTACTAGTGTTTTGAAGTTTCAAAAGTGGGTCTGGCGTTCTTGCTGACTGCTGCGGGTACTGCTGGACAAGGCCGTGCTGAGAAGGCCAGCGCGCCCGGCGGCAAGGAGCGACCTGCCCGGGTCTGGGGCCCCCAGCCGCCCCCCGCGGCGAGTGGGAGGCAGCAGGAGGCGGGCTGGATTCCGCCCTCGGGGAGGGCCGGGGGTCCTGGGACCAGAGCCAGGCCTCCTGCCCTCGACGTCCTGCCGGTTGTGAGCCAGAGCCTCGGTACCCCCACCCCCTGCAACGGCCTGCTTCGTGGGATCTGAAGCTGGGCCGCCCCCTGGGCAGGGCAGGGATCGGTGAGGCAAGGAGCTGAGGAGCGCTGGCAGGTAAGGGGGAAGTCTGGAGCCGGGTTGGAGGTGAGCGGGCGTTGAGGGGTGGGACAGAGGGAGTGGAGACGGGGCTGGGGGCGAGCCAGTGAACTGGGGGTGGCACAGAGGAGGTGGGAGCAGAGATGGGGGTGATCCGGAAGCCTGGGGTGGGGGGTGAGTGGGTTCGGAGCTGAGGGTGAGCCAGTGAGCTGAGGGTGGCACAGAGGGCGTGGGGGCGGAACTGGGGGTGAGCCGGGAAGCTGGGGGTTGGCACAGAGGAGGTGGGGACAGAGATGCGGGTGAGCCGGGAAGCTGGGGTTCGGGGTGGCGCGGGTGAGAGGGTTCGGAGCTAGGGGTGAGCCGGGAAGCTGGGAGGTGGTTCAGAGGAGGTGGGGACAGAGATGGGGGTGAACCGGGAAGCTGCGGGTCGCGGGGGGCTTAGTAGGTTCGGAGCTAGGGAGTGGCACAGAAGGGTTCGTGACGGGGCTGGAGGTGAGTCGGGGGGTTAGAGGGTAGTCACGCGGAGTTGGAGATGAATTAGGGCGCTGGAGGGGCGCGAGGGAGGAGGAGACCCGGGTGGAGGCGAGCCCGGCTGCTGGACGCGGACGCCACCCGGACCCGGGGCCCGCGCAGGGGCCTCGAGGAGAGGGGGCGGGGCCGGGGGGGCGTGGCGCGGGAGGGGAAGTGGGCGGGGCACCGCCGGGAAGGGGGCGGGCCGGGGGAAAGCCTTGGTTCGCTGCAGCGGGGCAGGCGCGTGGCCGGGCCGCGGCGCGATGAGTGGGGCCCGGGCGGCGCCCGGGGCCGCGGGCAACGGCGCGGTCCGGGGGCTGCGGGTGGACGGGCTGCCCCCGCTGCCAAAGAGCTTGAGCGGGCTGCTGCACTCGGCGTCGGGCGGCGGCGCGTCTGGGGGCTGGCGGCACCTGGAGCGGCTGTACGCGCAGAAGTCGCGCATCCAGGACGAGCTGAGCCGCGGGGGCCCGGGCGGCGGCGGGGCCCGGGCGGCAGCGCTGCCCGCCAAGCCTCCCAACCTGGACGCCGCTCTGGCGCTGCTCCGCAAAGAGATGGTGAGTGGGGCTCCGCGAGCTGGGGCTCTTCCCGGCCGGGCTCGCCGTCCCGGGAAAGTTCGCGGGGACCGCGCTCTGTCCGGAAGTCCCCGCGCCCACCCGCCCTTTCGGGCTCCTCCGCCCCAGGCGCCGGCGCCGTCCTCCCAACGACCCCCATTTTTCTCGCGTGCTCCGTGCCCACGATTGGAACCCCCGCGGGAGAGCCCCGCGCGCAGAGGGCGGCTTTCTTATGCCCGGCGCCCTCAGTCCGGCCCCGCTGGCTCGGAAACCTGGGCGCCCGGAAGCGCTGTGCGGGGTTCGTGCCTGGCCTGGGGGCGGGGGCGGCCTTGTCACCTCTCCCCGAGTGAAACAGACCTTCCCGGTGGGGGAAAGGCTTTCACAGCGGCCCAACGGATTAACGCGATTGCGTTTTCCTACCACGAAGAGGACAACTTTTGTCCGCCGCCAGTGTAGACAGCAGATTGGAACAGCCCGGCCCCCTTTCCGGCGCCCCAGGCCGCGCGTCCGTGATCCGATTACCGCGGGATGGCCCCGGCGCACAGATGGCTGCGAAAGCAGACGCGCACCCCGGGCGAGGGAGGCGGCCGGGTCCCTCAGCCCCGCGAAGCTGATTGCCCAAACCCTCTTGAGAAAGGTGGGAGGTGGCTGTCCTCCCGGTCTGGGTGCTGTCCATGTGAGTTCTTCGCCTTGTGTCTAAGCTCCATACCATGGGCTCAGTGTTTCTCTGTGCTTGGGAAGTACATTAGCTGTTTGTGGACCAGAACACACATGATTTAGGGTGACGCTAAAAGTAGGACAAGGGCAGGGATTTAGGCAACAGCGAGTCTTTCCCCAGCTTTCTCGGCCAGGCGTAGGCCAGGCAAGAAGAAATCAAAAACTTTTCCTCTTTTCTACCATCTTACTGGCCCCCATCACCTCCTCCCAATCCCCTCGTTTTAAAAGCCTCCCTTTCCATTCACCTCGTCCAGGTTGTCTCCTTTCCCTATAGGTAAATTGTTAAGAAATCTAACATTAGGAAAGCTGCCTTTTCCCAAAACTAAATTTGCCAAAAAATAAATTGTTATAGGAATCTTTTAAATATGTATCTAGTGCATTTAAGATATTGTTTAGAAAAATTCAGGGTATGCATACTTTTTTTTCAGGAGCATTATCTGTTCTGAAAACTAAGACTTAATTGAATTCAGAAAGCAGCCTTAACACTTTTAATCAAAGAGATATTGTCTTCCTACTCTGTAGCTGGCATTGAAGTGATTTCCAATTCTCACTGAAAAGATTTTCTAAGCTTCTTACAGAACCACTTAAATTCCAAGCCAACCGTTTTTAATTTATTAAAAAACATTCATTGACATAAGCATCACACAGCTGGTGAACTGCATTTTAATTAGATAAATCTACACGTAGTGTGTTTACAGTCTGAACTTGGACATAGCAGAACCACGGGGGTGAAGTAGGAAGATCATCTTTGATTATTTAAATTCCATACTTGAGCAAGAGATAGAAAAACCTCGGGGCCGCTCCTGTTGTGAAGCTGTGGTTTATAAACATGCTCTGGAGTCTTGCTATGGTGGCTTGGGAGTCAACGTGCCATTCCCAGAAGTATTTTTCCAGGTCCCTCCTGGTGTGACTGAAGCACAACCACATCCGTATAATTACGCCTTGGACCAGAGCTCTCTGTAAGCCTATTTGAAGCACAAGAAAAATAAACAGCCATCTTTGGTCTGCCTGGTATTTAGCTGAGATAAAGATAAGATATGGCTGCAGGTTTTGACAAGTTCCTTTCAAGAAATGTCACAAGGCCTTTAAAGTTGCCCAGAGAATCTTTCGGCTTTTTAATTGATTTACTGACTTGGGGCCATGGGGTCTGAGTGGACAACTCAAGCTGAGACTCCCTCTGGGGAGGCCTTGCAAAACAAGAACTGGGAGTTCATTCCTGAGATATCTGCAAAATAGTTTGTGTTGATCTGTTTAAATTGAAGGCCTGACGTCAAATCTGTGGCAGGGGACATAACTAGATGTCATGGTAGAATGTGATAAATGCCTTAAAGAAATTTTTTTTTTTAAAGCAAGCATAGAAAGAGGGGCAACTTCTAATAGGGACAGGGAGCAGGGTGGTGTGGAAGACCTCAGAAGGCGACAGAATTTCGACAAGGGAAAGAGGCACCAGGAAGGTAGCTGCGGAGCTGGAACTGGGAGTGCGCCAGTTTGAAATGTGAGCAAGAAGGGCCTGGGCAGGTGGACCGAGTGGACTCTGAGAAGCCTGAGTAGCAAGGATGGGCATTCAGCAGGAGAATGGTATTATCCCAGTTGGACTTTGAAGAAATGAATTCTACAGCAGGGTGCAGAAGGGAGAGCTGGACTTTGGAGGCTCAACAGGAAGATGAGAGGTGTTCATGGGAGAGGTGATGGAGTCCCCAGCAGGGTAGGGGGCTTGCTAATGTGAAACAAGACTCATGTGGGAGACACTTTTCTGAAGCCGAAGCTGGAGGAATTACTGAGTCAAGGAAGATGATGAAAAGGGGATCAAAGATAACTTAAGCTTTTTCATGGAAAATGTAGCCAAGCAAAAAATTAAAAATTACAGTGCCAGCACCTAGAAATAATCACTTTTAGTATTTTGGGATATCTTCTGTTAGGTGCAATGTAAGTGCTTTCTATATAGTATCTTATTTAATGGTATAAATTCTCCATGAGATAGATACTCAAAGTCTGTTTTATATTAAAGAATTGGATGCTGAGAGTTGAACTCCCATAAGGTCACAGACCCTACCAGGTCTCTTTGGCTCCAAAGCCCTATTTAACCATTGCAGTCTGCTGTCTGTGCACATGCATGCACTCTCACACACACACACATACATATATACAACACATTGATCACATATATTTTGGTTTGCTTTTTGGGCTGCACATTGCAATTATTTTCCCAGTCAAGATATATTATAATGACTTCAGTGAGTGTGTAGTATACCACTGTATGGCAGTTAGCAAGGTTTTGAAGCTTAATAATCAATCACTGGTAAAGTGGGGTTCATTATGGCACTTGGGGAGTCAGGAGGAGTAGCTGCTTTAGGGAGGAAGGTAATTTGTCATCGCATCAGCTGAAGAGCATGTTAAACATTTCAGAATGTGGAGCTGGAAGCTGGAAGAGAGGTTTTGGTCTGGAGATAGCCAGTAGAAGAGATGGTTGGAGCTGAGGGAGTAATACCATCTCAATGGGAGGAGAGGCCATTCGGATGCCGAGGGTGGAGGCTGGGAGAGCTGGAGCCCAGGGCTGAGAAGGGTCTGTCTCATGACTGCTGATGCCCTCCTCTGCTTGGAGAGTTGTGGTTTCAGCTCCACGTTTCAACACTTCCTGTTCTAGTAACCCCTGTGAAATTCTGCACTACTCGTAAGTCCTCGTCCCCTCCCCAGAAGGGCCCACTTGGAAAGCTTCAAGGGTCACACAGATAGTTATTGCTCTACAGACCAAAAAAGTCCTTTTGAAAAAGTTGATGATGATGATTTTTACATCAGAGAATATCTTTAGATCACGTTTAAGAGATGATTACTGGGTGTATGTTAGATAGCAAGTACTGTGGATGGTTTAAGGGTGAATAGGAAATATCTAGATGTTAAGGGGCTTATCACACCTGGTAGATGTGGGCATCTTTACAGAAAAAGAATTGCTTTAGTTTAGACTAGTTTTCATTTTTCATGACCAAAGACTCTATATTAGTAATAGAAACTTAGTTTGAACTAGCTTTTTCAAAAGGACAATCTTATAGACTGGATGTATACAGAGACAGGCTAGAACTAGGGCTTATGGGGAATCCAGGAAGTCCACTGAGGTATTCTCTTCCCCTCCTCCTCTGTTTTGTTTTTTCCCTCCATTTTGGAACCTGGCCTCTAACAGTGGCCACCCTCAATTTTGGCCTTGCTGCTTAGTTGCAGTTTGCAAATACTGTGGAAGGATGCCAATTGGCCTAGCTTAGGTGGCCTGGCCAGCCTGGGCCAGCCAACAGTGACAAGGACAAGATTGTATTTTAATAAGATGGTGTGAGCATGTGGATGGAGTCGGACACTGGGGATTCTCTAAAGAAAGGACAGTTTGCAAAAATGGAGCAAGGGGTAAAGTAGTAGACATCTACTGCAGACCCCGTTCTATATAAAAATACTTTGCCCTCAAGGGTCCCACAATTTGAAAGATTTTTTATCTGCTAAGCTGATGGCTAGCTTGGCTAACTAGATCTTGGTTGGCCTTTAAAATATTTGCATGTGGTTGAAGGATGTCCCTGACTGGGTGTCAGCTGGGACCCCTGGCACACACCAGTCCTTGCATAGATTTTTACATAGACTGCCCTTCCCAGCACCCGTGCGAGGTTAGATCATCAACCTTACAGGTAACCAGAAGTCACACTAGAGTGTAGAGACACAAAGACCTTCAGCCCTGGGGGCAGGAGATCTTTGAGGAGCAGCATCCCTGGGGATTCTTGGGTTCAGCTGCTCCCACAGTCAGCAGCAAGGTCTAGTAGCTTTGATTTGGAATCTCTTCGCCTCATTTTTTTCTTTAAACTATCAGTTATTTTGGTCTCCCACCTGTGCAGAGTGGGAAGTCATCCACACAGAACTTTTGAATTCCCAAATTGCAATGTTGTGTAAAGAATTGAACCTAAGGAAAAAAAAAGTTGAATTTGTGAAACTAGTAACAATTAGCCTTCCTACATTTTAGTTGAAACAACTAAATGCCTAATGAGCTTGTCCAGTGAACTGGATTCCAGCTCATTAGCTGGAATAGCTGACACCCCAGTGGAGTACAGTCCTTATCCTTTATGTGAAACCAGTGTCTTACAGAGGAAGTTTTAGTCTTTAAGAGGCTGTGATTGAGTCAGGCTATGAAGTGCCATTTAGAATAAGGGGATTCGCTCCTAGTGCAGCATTCTTGATTGGCGTTGGTCAGAGGAGACTGGGGATGTCTAGCGGCCTTTAATACTGTCTGTTTTCACTAGTCTTTCCACTAGCATAGTCTAGCACAGCGATCCCCAAAGGATGGACCGCCAGCTCCAGAATCTCCTAGGCTGCTTGCCCAAATGCAGATTTTAGGGCCACATTCTGTGCTTCTGGAATCAGTAGCTGGGAGAAGGAATCTGCCTTTTTTTTTTTTTTTTTTTTTTTGAGACAGAGTTTCTATCTTGTTGCCCAGGCTGCAGTGCAGTGGCGCGATCTCGGCTCACTACAACCTCCACCTCCCGGGTTCAAGTGATTCTCCTGCCTCAGCCTCCTGAGTAGCTGGGATTACAGGCATGCGCCACCATGCCCGGCTCTTTTTGTATTTTTAGTAGAGATGGGGTTTCTCCATCTTGGTCAGGCTGGTCTCGAACTTCTGACCTCAGATGATCCGCCCGCTTCAGCCTCCCAGAGTGCTGGGATTACAGGCGTGAGCCACTGTGCTCAGCAGGAATCTGCATTTTTAACAAGCCGTTTAAGACTGGAGAAGCACATGAATCAAGGATCAAAAGCTCGAATTTGGTGTTAATAAACTATGTGATACAGTTCTGACAAGCCACTTCACTCTTTTGGGCTAAAATCTCTTATTGGGAAAATGAGAATTAAATGCCATAAAGGGTCCTTTTGGCCATGGCAGTATTCTTTACCCCTCATGCCTCTATGGTTCTTTCTGATGCCTACAGAAGAAGTTGGCTCTGTCATAACTTTTGGGCACACGTGCGGGGCCTGTCACCAAGCATATTGCTTGGGGTCCCCAAGGACACTTCACAGCTATACCTAGTTGCTGTGAATTCCTTGAATGCAAAGAATGGGAAGCAGAAAAGGAAGAAAGGTACAAGTTTGCTATTCTTGAGCTCAGTTCATCAAAAATTAGGCTGTCTACACCAGTTATTAAGATTTTCAGGCCACTGCTACCCTGTACTTGTCCCATCCCCATCCCAATGTCCACCCTATAAAAGCAAAAACTGAAAAAAGAATATATATTAGTTTGTGTGTATGAAAGCATGCCCATGTCTTTGGTGTGGGGTGGGGGACAGTAAGGGCAGTGTGTGGGTCATTGCCTGGCTTCATTCACTTGATGCTATCTCCAAGTGAGGTTAGAGTTCTTCTCCCGAGATTTGAAGATATAAAGGATTAAAAGTAAAAATACCACTTTAAACTTTGCTCTATTACTGTACCTACCTGCAAAGTACTATAAATTGATATTTTTCCTAACTCATAAATATCTTACAACCCTTCTCCTTTTTTTCCCTTTTGTTTAAAGGTAAGCATCTGTTCAATGTAAATGTAAAGGTGCCCCAATAATTGGCAGTGTGGGCACCTCTTCATTTGCAGATAGCCTCAAGTGAGCAATAGCCCTGGCATTTCTGTACCTTGCAGACAGCGGTGCCTCCCCTGCTCTGGGTCCTGGTCTCACCGACATGGCTGTAGCCCCCTGAGGCCAGGTGGGCAAGGATGTTTAGGGAGGGTTCAAGAAGGGAACCATGCCTGGCTTGCAGTTCACTCCCACCAAGCTGCAGATGGAAGTTTCGCAGTTTCGCTCTGGGAATGCCTGCAGGAACTCCATGGAGACTTTAGACCCCACTTTGAAAAACCAAGCTTTTCATAATGCTGTGGAGGAAACCAGACAGACCACAGACTCCATGCTCAGGAAGCGATCCCCCGAGGCTGGCTGCTCAGATATTTGCCCCCGTTGCCAGTGTCATTCTCCATATGGAGCCCTGGCCTCCTGGCCGCCTTGGCCTTTGCCCACGTGTTCCTAATGTTTGGAAGTGATGATTAGACAGGAGTCATAAAGGCTGCTCACTACTTCCTGTGGCTCGTTCCCCACAGACACTTAACACAGATGGTCACCCTCTCCCAGGAACTCTGGAGACAGAAAAACCTTTAGCCTACTTTAGAAGTCTACAGAAATTCATTAAGACATGTGGCCTTTCCCGTTTTTGTGGGCACTCTCTGTTCACTTCCTTGATTGGCCCCGACAGCCATGAGCTGGCCTAGTTTTGCAGGTGTGCGCTTTCTGAGTCTCAAGGATTCGGGAGGGAGGCACCATCTTTGACCAGTGGAGGGATCTGGGGAGAAGGGAGGGCCTCTGTCCTCTGCCCAGAGCTCCCTAGTCAGCGGGTAATTGTTGGGGAACCCCAGGCCTGTCCCAGCCAGGAGAGCCTAGGCTGAGGAAGAAGGTGACTGAGATGCAGGTGAAAGCGAGTGTATTCTTAGGTGGGTGATTTGGTTAACCTAAATGGATTAATAAAGTTTCTCAGCTTTAATTTCTAATAAGGTAAATATTGACAGGTATAGCTCACATAAACAAAAGCTCTTTGGGACTCTCAA